>NW_017363815.1:0-139427 GCF_000001405.40 Homo sapiens
TCAAGGCATCAGCCTCTAATAAATAAACAAAAAACAGATCCAAAGTAGACAGCAACACTTTGATACGGAAGATGAAATAAAATACAAAATTCTAGGCCGGGCGCAGTGGCTCACGCCTGTAATCCCAGCACTTTGGGAGGCCGAGGCAGGCGGATCACGAGGTCAGGAGATCGAGACCATCCTGGCTTGTAACATGGTGAAACCCTGTCTCTACTAAAAATACAAAAAAAATTAGCTGGGCGAGGTGGCAGGCGCCTGTAGTCCCAGCTACTCGGGAGGCTGAGGCAGTAGAATGGTGTGAACCCCGGGAGGCGGAGCCTGTAGTGAGCCGAGATCGTGCCACTGCACTCTAGCCTGGGCGACAGCGAGACTCCGTCTCAAAAAAAAAAAAAAAAAAAAAAAAATTCTAGTGCCCGGGTTCAGAATGCAGGTAAGCATACAAAGGAAAACTGAAAACTGTATAAAAGGCATTATATTGCTAGTGTGTATACAGGTCTGCACAACCGTTTCTGCCCAGCAATGTAACATCAGGTTTAAAATGGGGACATGCCCTTTGACCTTGCAAGTCCCATGCTATCAGTTTATCCTAAGAAGTTTCACCCCAGGCCAGGTGTGGTGGCTCATGCTTGTAATCCCACCACTTTGGAAGGCCGAAGCAGACAGATCCCTTAAGCCGACGAGTTCAAGACCAGCCTGGACAACATGGTGAAACCCCATCGCTACAAAAAATAGAAAAATTAGCCAGGCTTGGTGGCATGCGCCTGTAGTCTCAGCTCCTCAGGTGGCTGAAGTGGGAGGATAGCTTCAGCCTGGGAGGTCGAGGTTGCAGTGAGCTGAGATCATGCCACTGCACTCCAGCCTGGGTGACAAACAGTTAAAGCCCTGTCTCCCCCCACAACAAAAAAAGGATGAGGAGGAGGCTCACCCTAGTCACCTATATAAGTGTACCTTGAACACAGCATAAATGTCATACGCAAAATTTAACGAGTTTTGCCAAAATTATCACCCAGAAAGTCACCTTACACCTGAGCTCTTACAAAGTCTTCCAATTACAGAGCATTCTCTCATGAAAACATTTGATTCTGATCAAAGCACTGATTAGGGAAAAATGTTACCTTGAAACAATTTCTATCAGTCTTAGTTCTGTCCTTTATAGGAGGTTAACTGAAGGATTCCATAAAAATGGAGGCAAAGAAATTTAACAGATTTGGTCATGATACATAGGAGCAAAATCTCACATTTTCAACTGCTGCATGTCCGCATAAACAAGCCCTCTAAAGATACCTTTTTTTTTTCTTTTGAGACAAGGTCTTGGTCTGTCGCCCAGACTGAAGTACAGTGGTAAAATCACAGCTCACTGCAGGCGCACCCTCCCAAGCTCAAGCAATCCTCCCAACTGAGTCCCCTAAGTAGCTAGGATTACAGGTGTGTGCCACCACGCCCAGCTGATTATTTTATTTTTGTAGACATGGGGGTCTCACTATGTTGCCCAGGCTGATCTCAAACTCCTGAGCTCAAGCAATCCTCCTGCCTTGGCCTCTCAAAGTGCTGGGATTACAGGTGTGAGCCACTGTGCCCGGCCCCATTTTTTAAATAATAAAGTAAGTTACATTGCAGAGGAAAGAAACATATCCAAAGAAAACTGGTCAGACATGGTGGTACTTTGGGAGGCCAAGGTGAGATGATCACTTGAGGCCAGGAGTTCGAGACCAACCTGGGCAATGTGGTAAGATGCCATCTCTTCAAAAAAATAAAAATAAATTAAAAATTAGCTGGTGTGGCCAGGAGTGGTGGCTCACGCCTATAAACCCAGCACTTTGGGAGGCAGAGGGTGGTGGATCACTTGAGGTCAGGAGTTTGAGACCAGCCTGACCAACATGGTGAAACTTTGTCTCTACTAGAAATACAAAAAATTAGCCAGGTGTGCTGGTGTGTGTCTGTAATCCCAGCTACTTGGGAGGCTGGGGCAGGAAAACGGCTTGAACCCAGGAGGCGGAGGTTGCAGTGAACTGAGAATGCACCACTGCACTCCAGCCCGGGCAACAGATAGAGTGAGACTCCACCTCAATAAAAAAATTTTTAAAAAAAGCTTAATTAAAAAATTTTTTTTTTTTTAATTAGCTGGTGACGGTGTGCATCTACAGTCCCAGCTACTCTGGAGAGTGAGGAGAGGATCACCTCACAGCCTAGGAGTTCGAGGCTGCACTAAGCCATGATCGTGCCCACTGCACTCCAGCCTGGGTAACAGAATGAGACTCTCTTAAAAATAAAATACATAAAATATAAATTTCATTCCCCAATAATCTTAAATATAAAAATATAACTCATTTTTATACATTGACCTGGTATCCTGTGATCTTATGAAATTCTTTATTTTGAAGATTTCTTAAGACTTTTTACATACAAAATCCTGTCTTAAGCAAACATTGTTTTGTTTTTTATTTTATTTTTTTGGAGACAGGGTTTCCCTCTGTCACCCAGGCTGGAGTTCTTTGATATCAGCTCACTGCAGCCTCGACTTCCCAGACTCAAGGGATCCTCCTGCCTCATCCTGCCAAGTAGCTGGGACTACAGGCACACACTACCATGCCTGGCTAATTTCTGTATTTTTACTACAGTCAGGGTTTCAGCACATTGCCCAGGCTGGTCTCGAACTCCTGGGCTCAAGAGATCCACCTACCTAAGCCCCCAAAGTGCTGGGATTACAGGCATGCGCCACCACGCAAGGGGGTTTATGGTTTTTCTCAGCATTTTGAAAGATGTTTCATTGTGTTGTTTCTGTTAAGAAGTCAGCAGTCATTTTTATCTTTGCTCCTCTACAAGTAAAGTGTCTTTTTTTCTGGCAATTTTTAAGATGTTATTTATTACTTGTTTCTAGCAACTTGATCATGATGTGGCTTGGTGTGGTTTTGTGTTTATCAGATTTAAGATTATGAGTTTTTGGGATCTGTGAATTATTTTTCACCAACTTTAGAAATTTTGAGATTATCTTTTTATATTTCTACTGTTTCTCTTCTCTCCCTCCTCCTGTAATTCCAATTACACATACAGTAGACTAGTTGATAATGCCTCACAGATCACTGAAGCATTTTTATTCTGGCTTTTTCCCACCCTGTCTGTTTAAGCCTAGATAATTTCTATTGCCGTATCTTGTAATTCAATGTTCGTTTCTTGTGAACTGTCTAATCTTCAATGAGGCCTATCCAGTAAAATATTCATTGCTAAGATGGTATTTTTTGGTTTCACTTGTTTTTTTTCATAGCTTAAATTTCTCTCATTATGTTTATGTTTCCGAAACTTCAAGTCCCTGCACATATAATTACTATTTTTTTATGTTTTTGAGAGTGACAGGATCTCACTTTGTTGCCCAGGCTCAGACTGATCACAAACTCCTGGCCTCAAGTGGTTCCTCTTGGCCCAGCCTATAATCACTTTTTTCTTTTTTTTTTTCCCGAACATTCATATCATTATATAATCACTTTTTAAAGTCCTTGTTTATTAATTTAAATATCTTTATTATTTTGGGGTCTGTTGCAGTGACTGACTTTTCTCCTGGCAATGAGCCACCATTTTCCTTTTCCTATATCTAGTACTTTTTTAATCGGATGCTGAACGTTGTAGATGTGTCTAGATTTTGCTCTCTTCCTTTGTTCTAGCAGGCAGTTAATCAGCTTGTAGGTCAGCTTGATCCTTTCAAGACTTGTTTTTAAGTTTTGTTAGTATTGGTCTAGAAAGGCCTTTGAGGGCTGATTTAGCCCTAGAGTGTGGCCCTTCTGGGTTCCACACTAATTATGCCAGTATTCAACTTGGTCGTTCCACTCCAACTAGTAGGAGTTGAACATCTCCTACACAGAAAAACTCCAGTAGTTATTCTTTGCATAGCTCACGAAATTTCCCTAAGAAGACACAGCTTTACATTCAGCCAGTACTCACCAGACCCCATATCCCTAGAGCTGTTCCCTCCATTCCAACACCCTTCCCAGCATATTCCAACTACCGCCCCAACTCTGAGCTCTGTCTTCTCAGCTCAGTAGGACCACCACTGCTGAACTTCGTTCTTCCTCTGAGTCAGTCCTATAAGTGATTCCAGGTAGACAGCTGGAATCATTCTAGGGCTCACCTTGTTTCCCATTTTTAGGAATTCCAATCCTATGCTACCTACCTTTCATCCAATGTTTGAACGTTTTTCATATGGATTTTTTCCTCTTTTTCTAGTTGTTTTGGCAACAGAGCTAATCCAGTACCAGTTATTCTATCATGAACAAAAGTATATGTATTTGGCTGGGCACGGTGGCTCATGCCTGTAATCCCAGCACTTTGGGAGGCCGAGGCAGGAGGATCACCTAAGCTCAGGAGTTTGAGACCAGCCTGAGAAACATGCTGAAACCCCATCTCTACTAAAAATACAAAAATTAGCCGGACATGGTGGTGGGAGCCTGTAATCCCAGCTACCAGGGAGGCTGAGGCGGCAGAAGCACTTGAGCCCGGAAGGTTGAGGGTGCAGTGAGCTGAGATCGTGCCCCTGCACTCCAGCCTGGGTGACAGGTGAGACACTGTCTCAAAAAAAAAAAAAAAAAAAAAAAAGAAGTATGTATATTTGACTCTTTTACAGCACTGTTTGCATAGCTTCATATATATTTAAAACTTTTTATTTTATCTTCCCAGATTTATAGAGAAAAGACTATATATACAAGACTGAACATAGTGGTTCACACCTGTAATCTCAGCACTTTGGGAGGCCAAGGCAGGCAGATCACTTGAGCCCAGGAGTTTGAGACCAGCCTGGGCAACATGGCAGAACCCCATCTCTACAAATAATACAAAAGTTAGCCAGGCTTGGCTGGGTGCAGTGGCTCACTCTTGTAATCCCAGAACTTTGGGAGGCCAAGGCGGGTGGATTACTTGAGGTCAGGAATTCAAGATCAGCCTGACCAACATAGCGAAACCCCATCTCTACTAAAGGCACAAAAATTAGCCGGGCATTATGGCATATACCTGTAGTCCCAGCTACTCGGGAGGCTGAGGCAGGAGAATCGCTTGAACCCAGGAAGCAGAGGTTGCAGTAAGCCACGATTCTGCCACTGCACTCAAGCCTGGGTGCCAGAGCAAGACTCCCTCTCAAAATAAATAAATAAAATAAAATAAAATAAAATAAAATAAAATAAAATAAAATAAAATAAAAAATTAGCCAGGCTTGGTGGTGTATGCCTGTAGTCCCTACTACTCATGAGGCTAGAGTTGGGGGAAATCACCTGAGCCTGGAAGGTAGAGGCTGCAGTGAGCCATGATTGTACCACTATACCCCAGCCTAGGCAACAGAGTGAGACTCCGTTTCACTAAAAAAAAAAAAAAAAAAAAAAAAAAAAAAAAATTAAGTTTGGAAGATTATATATCAAAATATTAATATGGGCAGTCCCTGACTGAATGTTTTTCTTACATGTATTAATTTCCTGGAGCTGTCATAACAAAATACCACAAACTGACTTAAAAAAAAACAAGGCCGGGTATAGTGGCTCACGCCTGTAATCCCAGCATTTTGGGAGGCTGAGGTGGGTGGATCACCTGAGGTCAGGAGTTCGAGACCAGCCTGAGCAATACGGTGAAACCCCGTCTCTACTAAAAATACAAAAATTAGCCGGGTATGGTGGCGGGTGCCTGTAGTCCCAGCTACCAGGAAGGCTGAGGCAGGAGAATCGCTTGAACCCGGGAAGCAGAGGGTGCAGTGAACCGAGATCGTGCCACTGTACTCTAGCCTGGGCAACAGAGTGAGACTCTGTCTCAAAAACACAAAACAAAACAAAAAACAAATTAAAAAAACAGAAATGTGTTGTCTCACAATTCTAAAGTTTGGAAGTCCAAGATCAGGGTGTCAGCAAGGCCATATTCCTTTGAAACCTATAGGGGAGAATCCTTCCTTGCCTCTTCCTAGCTTCTGGTTGTCATCATCAATCCCTGCTGTTCCTTGTCTCACAGATTTATCACTCCAATATGTATTTCTGTCATCGCCACATGGCCATCTTCCCTTTATGTCTTTCTCTCCTCATAAGAACAGTCATATTGTGCTGGGTGTGGTGGCTCACGGCTGTAATTCCAGCACTCTCGGAGGCTGAGGTGGACAGATCACTTGAGGTCGGGAGTTAGAGACCAGCCTGGCCAATATAGTGAAACCACATCTCTACTAAAAATACAAAAATTAGCTGGGCATGGTGGCACACACCTGTAATCCCAGCTGCTGAGGCAGGAGAATTGCTTGAACCAAAGAGGCGGAGGTTGCAATGAGCTGAGATTGCACCACTGCACTCAAGCCTGGGCGAAAGAGAAACAGTCATATTGATTAAGGCCCTATCTAATTATCTCATCCTGACTTTATTACATCTGCAAAGACCTCATTTCCAAATAGGGTCACATTCAGGTATTATAGACTAGGACTTCTAAGTATATTTTTGACAGACACAATTTAACCCACAATATGGGTGGTGCTTTCCTGAATTCTCCTAGTATTCTGCATGAATACTACTAGTTAATGAAGTTTTAAAAAATTATAAATGTTTTACTAAAACCCATGAAAGGGTAAATGCCAGGCCTGCAAGAAAAGGGATCAGCTAGGCTAGGATACCTGTAAGTATCTAGCGGGTGGGTGGGGGTTATAGGAAAACTACATAATCAGTTTTCTCCTTCTGTAAGCCCAGGGGTCTTGCTAATCAAAGCATCTTTGACCATGTCAGCTGGCTTGCTATTGTAGGAAATAAAAACAGGACAATGAATGTTAAAGGATTTACTTCTTTTTATTTTTTTTTTTTAAGATAGGGTCTCACTCTGTCGCCAGGCTGGAGTGCAGTGGTACGATGTCGGCTCACTGTGACCTCCGCGTCCCTCTCGGGTTCAGTTCAACCAATTCTCCTGCCACAGCCTCCCAAGTAGCTGGGACTACAGGAGTGTGCCACCACGCCCAGCTAATTTTTGTATTTTTAGTAGAGATGGGGTTTCACCATATTGGCCAGGATGGTCTCAATATCTTGACCTCGTGATCTGCCCACCTCAGCCTCCCAAAGTGCTGGGATTATAGGTGTGAGCCACCGCAACCAGCCAGGATTTACTTCTTAAACCTGTGATTACTCCCATAACATTCTTAGGAAATCCTGCCTTTCTTCTTGGGAGACTGGGACCCACTGGAAAAGGGAAAGGACTGCATTCCTCCTGGCTACACCTTTGTATTTTCTCACTTCTCTTAACATTCTGTGAAGCTTAAATGGGTTTTATTTAGGTAGCTGGGATACAAGCAAGTATGAGGAAAGCTGAAGAATACTGATTACTTAACAAATACAAGAAAAAACTTTTTTTTTTTTTCTGAGATGGAGTCTCGCTCTATTGCCCTGGCTGGAGTGCAGTGCCCTGATCTCGGTTCATGCAACCTCCGCCTTCCGGGTTCAAGCAATTCTCCTGCCTCAGCCTCCCGAGTAGCTGGGATTACAGGCATGCGCCACCACACCCGGCTAATTTTTGTATTTTTAGTAGAGACGGGGTTTCACTATGTTGGCCAGGCTGGTCTCAAACTCCTGACCTCGTGATTCGCCCACCTTGGCCCCCTAAAGTGCTGGGATTACAGGCGTGAGCCACCGCGCCCAGCCAAGAAAAAACATTTTTATTGGCCGGGTGTGGTTACTCACACCTATAATCCCAGCACTTTGGGAGGCCGAGGCAGGTAGATTGTCTGAGCTCAGCCACTGCACCCGGCCAGGAAAAAATATTTTTAAGGTGGCTCAGCTCTTCTCTTCCCACCAAAAATACTAACCAATTCCGTTCCTTTGCTATAACAAAATTCATCAATTTCCCAATAATTAGCCAACAAAAATAGAAAAGGAAAAAAAGTCTTCATATTTGTATGTCTGTATGCTTAACATATTGAGTTTTTACTGTTTTGAGTAATGAAATTACTACACTGTCATATTCAACTGCTAACTGATCAGTTAGCCCTTCTCAAAGCAGAGTTAATTAAAAGGATAAGGCAACTGCTAACTGATCAGTTAGCCCTTCTCAAAGCAGAGTTAATTAAAAGGATAACCTCAGTGTTATTATTTATAATTACATGTATCGGCTGAAATGTGTATTTTCAGCTAAAGAGAAACAATTCCTAAACTACTCTATAAAACCTAAGCAATTAGGCTGGGTGCGGTGGCTCCTACCTGCAATCCCAACACTTTGGTAGGCCAAGGTGGGAGGATAGCTTGAGCCCAAGAGTTCAAGACCAGCCTGGGCAACAAAGTGAGACTCCCCATCTCTACAAAAATTTTTTTTTTTTTTTGAGACGGAGTTTCATTGTTGTTGCCCAGGCTGGAGTGCAATGGCGCGATCTCGGCTCACCACAACCTCTGCCTCCCAGGTTCAAGAGATTCTCCTGCCTCAGCCTCCCCAGTAGCTGGGATTATAGGCATGCGCCACCACGCCCGGCTAATTTCGTATCTTTAGTAGAGAAGGGGTTTCTCCATGTTGGTCAGGCTGGTCTCGAACTCCCAACCACAGGTGATCTGCCCACCTCGGCCTCCCAAAGTGCTGGTACAGGCCTGAGCCATCGTGCCCGGCCACAAAATTTTTTTTAGAAATTAGCCAGGCAAGGCTGGGCGCCGTGGCTCATGCCTGTAATCCCAGCACTTCGGGAGACCGAGGCAGGAGGATCACCTGAGTTCAGGAGTTCAAAAGCAGCCTGGCCAACATGGCAAAACCCCATCTCTACTAAAAATACAAAAAATTAGCTGGGCATGGTGCCAGGTGCCTGTAATCCCAGCTACTTGGGAGGCTGAAACAGGAGAATTGCTTGAACCCAGGAGGCGGAGGTTGAAGTGAGCCAAGATCATGCCATTGCACTCCAGCCTGGGTGACAGAGCAGACTCTGTCTCAAAAAAAAAAAAAAAAACAAAAAAGAAAGAAATTAGCCAGGCATGGTATTGTGCACCTGTTGTCCCAGCTACTCAGAAGGATGAGGTGGGAGGACCATTTGAGCCCAGGAGGTCAAGGCTGAAGTGAGCTATGATCACTGTACGCTAGCCCAGGCAATAAAAGGAGACACTGTTTCGGGCAGGGGAAGCATTAAAGCATCATCACTCTCATCATTTGCTTAAAACACTGAAAGTTAAAGCTATGTTCTGCCAAAACTAAGTAAGTATGCCTGTAATTCCAGCATTTTGGGTGGCCAAGGTGGGAGGACTGCTTGAGCCCAGGAGTTTGAGACCAGCCTAGGCAACACAGCAAGACCTTGTTTCTACCTAAGATTTAAAAAAAAAAAAAAAAAAATTAGCCAGACGCGGTGGCATGCCTATAGTTCCAGCTACTGGAGGGGATGGGGAGGGTCCTAAAGTAAGATGATCAGTTGAACCTAGGATGTCAAGGCTACTGCTCTCCAGATCCTGTCTTAAAAAATAAAAAAGAAAGCATAAACCAAAAATAAAATTCTAAGCCCCCCCAACCAACTGAATGAAGGTGAATCCTTCTCCATTCAGTCAAGTGCATTCTAAAGTAAACCTGAAACACTAGTTCAGGCCATGCTGGGAATGGGTGGTCAGACACGCCTCATTATACTCTCTTCCCTTCAGAATTCTGGCACAGCTAACCAGCATTAACATTAAAACAGAGACCTTAGGACTGACAAAACAGATTACTAGTAGCAATAAGATACAAATATGACAGACAGCAAACCCTGAAAGAAGTATTTCAGGTGTTCTTTAATCCCCCTCCTTTTTTTTTTTTTTTTGGTAGAGACAGAGTCTCTCTGCTATGTTGCCCAAGCTGGTCTCAAACTCCTGGGTCCAAACAATCCTCCTCCCTCAGCCTCCAACAGTGCTGTGATGACAGGCATGAACCACCACATCTGGCCCAAAATATATAGCTTTGACAAATTTTGAAATGGCCCTGCAAAGTTGTCTCTTTAAGTCTTATAAGAAACATTTAACATTTACAGTGCTCGGCTTCAGGCACATGTTGGGGGTGTTGAGGTCTAGTGGGCAGAGTAGACTCTTGGCCAGACAGATGGTTTCTCAGTGGCAGGATGCGAGGGCCTCCATGCACCGGAGATCTCTCCAGCACCAGGAGCAGCCGCTGGACAGCAAGGAGCGGCAGCCTATGGTTAGCCATTGGGAGATCTCCGCCAGGGCCCTGGGTTCTCTGTGCAGACAGTTCCAAAGAAGGCTGCCCCTAAGAGCCGTCAACCTCAACCTCCGGACAGGTACCTCCTAGAAACCCCTAGAAACCAGGGTCAGGGCAGTAAGAGACTCCAGGCTGCAGCTCGCTCAGCTAAGAGCACCCTGGGTGCCATGTCACAGAGAATCCAGGAGTCCTGCCAAAGTAGCACCAAGTGTCTGGTGGAGACCCAGGTGAAGGCCAGGAGGAGGAAGAAAGGGGTACAAAAGGGAGAGCAGTGTCTCCCCAACTCACAGCCTGAGCCAGAAGAGGATTCAGCTGTATGGAGCTGCCCCTGACCACTCAGCTACAGACCCCTGTGCATCACCACCTCTCTACCTGGACAGGCTCACGTGCCTACCCTCTACGGCAGTGGAGGCGGGAGACTGCCTTCCAGAGCCCCTACTCCTTGACAGAGCTCCTCTGCTCTCCCAGCGCATCTGATAGTGACCTAGCACCTATGGGGAGCAGGAATTCGGCATCTCCAGAAGCTGTCCCAAGAGCTGGATGAAGCCATTATGGCGGAAGAGAGTGGTGAAATGACACTCTCATTCATGACTGAGGAAGTGCCCTGCAGGAAACAAGCCCTGTCTGACCACCAAGGCTTCGTACCCCAGAATGTCTGTGCTTCCCCATGAGCTTCCTGGCGGAAGCTCCCAGGAGTCATCAGTACCCCTGGGCCACTGCTAACAAAGACCTGACTAGCAAGGAGCCCAGAGCCCCCCTGCTCCAGCCACATCTGGACCCATCAGTGACTGCCTGCCACAGCCTGAGAGTGTCTTGGGGAGATCTTGCAGAGGTGGGGAGAATTGTTCCTTCTACTCCCCAAGGGGACTCTTGGGTTTAGTAATGCATCGTATACTTGACCTTGAGCCTGGTATTTGCTTCATCTACAATGTGAAGAGCTGGCATCAGATGTTTGAGAGCTCTGAACTCAAACCAGGTGCTTGGTTTTTGGGGAGTCATCCACAGAGTCACTCGCCCACTGTGTTTCCAGTGCCAAGGCCCTTGGGGGCACCACTCTCATCCCTGCTTTCCCTACCAGGGACCTGGAGGAAGGCATAGGAGATAGTTCCAGGCTTAAACCCTGGGCTCACAGGTACCTATTTATATGTTCAAGGCAGAGCACTGTGGGTGTGCCAGGAGGGGTAGCCCTGTTCAAGAGCAATTTCTGCCCTTTGTAAATTATTTAAGAAAACTGCTTTTATTTTATTAGAAAGAAACCAGATAGCATTGCTTTCTTATAATAAAGACTAGATAACACTGCTTTCTCATAATAAAGACTGTTTTGTGGCTGGGCGCAGCGGCTCACACCTGTAATCCCAGGACTTTGGGAGGCCGACGCGGGTGGATCACCTGAGGTCAGGAGTTCGAGACCAGCCTGGCTAACATGGTGAAACCCCGTCTCTACTAAAAATACAAAAATTAGCCAGGCGCAGTGGCAGGTGCCTGTAATCCCGGCTACTCGAGAGGCTGAGGCAGGAGAACTGCTTGAACCCAGGGGGCAGAGGTTGCAGTGAGTTGAGATCGCGCCGCTGCAGTCCAGCCTGGGTGACAGAGCAAGACTCCATCTCCGTCTAGGGGCGGGGGTGAGGAGACTGCATTTGGGGGAAAAAAAAAAATCATTTACAGGCTAGGCTTATAATCCCAGCACTTTGGGAGGCTGAGGTAGGTGGATCACTTGAGCCTAGGAGTTCTAGACCAGCCTGGACAACAAAGCAAGATCCTATCTCTTTAAAAAATAATAAAAATTTTAAAAAAAGAAACATTTGCAATCTGTTCTCTCTGAAACCTGTTACCTGGAGGCTTCATTTGCATAATATGAACCTTGGTCTCCACACCCCTATCTTTTTTTTTTTTTTTTTTTGAGACAGAGTCTCGCTCTGTCACCCACGCTGGAGTGCAGTGGTGCGATCTCAGCTCACTGCAAGTTCCACCTCCCGGGTTCACGCCATTCTCCTGCCTCAGCCACCTGAGTAGCTGGGACTACAGGTGCCCGCCACCATGCCCAGCTAATTTTTCATATTTTTAGTAAAGACAGGGTTTCACCATGTTAGCCAGAATGATGTCGATCTCCTGAGCTTGTGATCCACCCGCCTCAGCCTCCCAAAGTGCTGGGATTACAGGCGCGTGCCACTGTGCCCAGCCTCCACACCCCTATCTTAACCTAGACACTCCATTCTACTGATTCCAGGGATTTAAATGAACTCTCACCCAATTGCCAGTCAGCAAATCTTTGAATCCACCTGTGACTTGGAAGACCGCCCCCCTCACCCTTCGAGTTGTCCCAGCTTTCCAGACCAAATCAATGTACATCTTACATGTACTGAGTGATGGCTTAGGTCTCCCTAAAATGTATAAAACCAAGCTGTAGCCCGACCACCTTGGGCACATTTTCTCAGGATCTCCTGGGGCTGTGTCATGAGCCATGGTCACTCACATTTAGCTCAGAATAAATCTCTTAGAATATTTTAGAGTTTGACACTTTTCATTGACAAAAGTATCACAATTTGGGAGTACCTTAATCTGTTAATACAGTCAATAAACATTTACTGCCTACTGCATATCAGACACTGTATTGGACACTACAGCTACACAATCCCCTTCTCTGGACATACTCTCAATCAACTACTGAGAATCAGTTAGTTGAAACAAAGATTAAGAGGAAGAGGAAAGGGTAAAGTCAGAAAAGTCTTCCTGGGGAAGACCATTTCAAAAGCAGTCTTCCAGAACAAACAAGTTAACTGAGCAGGGCATAGAAGAGAGATGTAGCCTTCTAAGGAAAGGAAATGCAAAGTCAATGAGGCAAGTAACAGCAAGGAATGGCCCAGACAATAACAACAGACATTAACAACGGGAGGTGACTCCAGTCAACAATAGTAGAGGGTAACAACCTGTGGTCATTGCAGGCAGTTTAGTGTTGCTGAAATAGCAAGCCCTGAGCAGAAAGTAAACAACCAGTCTGGGGCAGGGTTTCTTTCTTAATTTTGCACCACTGCCATTTACGACGGATAACTGTTGTAAGGGGTTGTCCCATACATAACAGAATGCTTAGCAGCGTCCCTGGCCTTGATGCACTAGATGCTAGTAGCACCCCCATAATGAATAGTTGTGATAACCATAAAGGTCTCCAGATTTGTCCCTGGGAGCAAAATTGGCCCCACTCCCCAGAACAATTGGGCTTGAGATACATCAAAAAAAATACTTCAGGGCAGGGCGCTGTGGCTCATGCCTGTAATCCCAGCACTTTAGGAGGCCAAGGCGGGTGGATCACCTGAGATCAGGGGTTTGAGACCAGCCTGACCCACACAGTGAAACCCTGTCTCTACTAAAAATACAAAATATTAGCCAGGCATGGTGGCGCACGCCTGTAATCCCAGTTACTCGGGAGGTTGAGACAGAAGAATCGCTTGAACTCGAGAGGCGGAGGTTGCAGTGAGCTGAGAGGGTGGGCCATTGCACTCCAGTCTGGACGACAGAGCGTGCCTCCGTCTCAAAAAAAAAAAAAAAAAAAAAAAAAAATTTAGGCCGGACACGGTGGCTCACTCCTACAATCCCTGCACTTTGGGAGGCCAAGGCGGGATGATCACTTGAGCCCAGGGGTTCCAGACCAGTCGGGGCAACAAAGGGGGACCTTACAACTACAAAAAAAAAATTTTTTTTTTAATTAGCCACACCTGGGACCCAAGTACCTGGGACCACACTCACCTGTCCCGTGGCTCACGCCTGTAATCCCAGCACTTTGGGAGGCTGAGGCGGGTGGATCACGAGGTCAAGAGATCGAGACCATCCTGGCCAACATGGTGAAACCCCGTCTCTACTAAAAATACAAAAAGTAGCTAGGCATGGTGGCGCTCGCCTGTAATCCCAGCTACTGAGAGGGTGAGGCAGGAGAATCGCCTGAACCCGGGAGGCGGAGGGTGCAGTAAGCCGAGATCGCGCCACTGCACTCCAGCCTGGCGACACAGCGAGACTCCGTCTCAAAAAAAAAAAAAAAGTGTCTTCAACTCAGATAGAAGGAGTCAATGAGAAGGTTCTTAAAAGCCCGAAGACCTATTTCCCAGAAAACTCTAATTAACCTTATAATTTGTATAGTTAGTTACAGTGAGTATGAGCTGTCTTGCTCTGTACTTCAGCTGTTGTAAGTGTTTACGAACTGTCTCCAAAAACAGATGCAAATTTCCCTCATGGCAGAGATCGTAACGAATTTATCTATCCACTTTCTCACAGCGCCACACCGTTCCTTACGCACAGCAGGAATGCAATCAGTATTTGTCGATGGTTCCCCAAACTAACAGGAGTGGCTGCACTACGCACACTTAGGTGATACGTACACTTGTCAAAACGGCAGAAACGCAACCTCAATTTCAGAAAAACAAACCACATTCCTTTGGGAAGGCCACCTCTGCCACAAGCAGCCAAAGCGCTTGCATAGGGGTGAGAGGCGATGGGAAGGGTACTGGAAGGCTCCCCCAGATAAAAACAAAAGACTCCTTCCAATCGCCTCAAACACGCTCGGAAACCTCCACGACCTGCGCCAGCCCACAGGAGGGGGCCAGCTTGACCTGAGGCTGCACCACTCCCCACTTAAAGCGGCGAGTATCGGCGGGGGAGCGCAGGAAGCTTACTAGTGGGGCGACCCAGTCGTTCCGGCGCTTTCCCTCTCCCTTCACGTCTTACCTGCTTGGCCAAGAACCTGCCCAACTCACTGCGGCTCTTCTCGTTCTTGGCTGCGATTAACCGCAGCGGCGCGGCTGCCACCTCCAGCAAGAAGTGCTCCATGACCCAGGGCCCTCACCCCGAGCGGCCACCTGCGCTCCCTACTTCGCGGCCAGCGTCCCCAAGCCGCCGAGGTCCCAGTGCCCGAGCAGCCAGCAACTACGCCCGCAGGAAAGGCGTCCTCAGCTCCAGCGCCTACACCGGGAGAGGGGCACCACACGTGGGTGAGCACACGGCGTTTGACGTCATCAGCTCGGGACGGCTACGCTGCGCCCTCCCGGCCTCAGCCCCTCAGCGGCGGAAACGCCAGTCTTCGCTGTCCCGCCTTTTCCGGGAGGGAAATGGAAACAAAAATCTAGTCGGTTTGGATGCAGGAGTGATGGGGACTCGCGAACACAGCACGTGGTGGGACAGAAAGAAGAGTGCGTTAGGCCGGGGAGGAAAGAGGGGGCGTGTGAGTCTCAGCCCACCGTGCCTTGCTTCTGCCTTAACACACGGAAAGATCAGATGTGAGAGAAAAGCTGATTCTCGGCCGGGCGCGGTGGCGCATGTCTTTATCCCAGCATTTTGGGAGGCCGAGGAGGGCAGATCACTTGAGGTTAGCAGTTCGAGACCAGCCTGGGCAACATGGTGAAACCCCCTTCTCTACTAAAAATACAAAAATTAGCCGGGCGTGGTGGCGCGCGCCTGTAGTCCCAGCTACTCGGGAGGCTGAGGCAGGAGAATCGCTTGAACCCGGGAGACGGAGGTTACAGTAAGCCGAGATCGTGCAGCTGCACTCCAGCCGCGCGACACAGCAGACTTTTACTGTCTCAAAAAAAGAAAGAAAAGCTGATTCTCCCCTTCTTGTTAGCGGTGGCAGTTACCCCCTGTATAGGTAGGGGTCAGCAGTAACCTTAGTTCTTGCCTCCTCAGAAGAAATAATTCCACGAAGGGCATAAGGCAGGATAGACCTAGACAAGTTTCAGAATAGAAGTAAAAGTTTATCAAAAAGCTTTAGAACGGGACGGAAAGAAAAGGAGGAAAGTACAACTTGGAAGACTGCCAAGCAGGCGACTTGAGAAACCAAGTGCGCAGCTTGACCTGTTGACTTGAAGTTTTATATGTTGGCATACTTTGGGGAACTTGCATTGCTTCTCCCCACTCCTGAGATCTTACTGGGAAGCTACTGATCAGTTTCAGGTGTTTTCTATTAGGAGACTGCCTTTCGCTGGCCCCGGTGAACGTTAGAGAAACAGTTAAGAACCGCCTGACCATCGTTTGATTGTCACCCAATAGTCCTGGTATGTGTGGGGTGGGGAGCGCTCTCCTGTTCTGCTCATACCTAACTAGTTAACATTCTGCCCCAGCAATTCCCCTTGTAGGACTCTAGCCTGCGGAAATCCTCACTAAGTGTGACAAAGACACCCCTTGCAGTTTTCTTAATACAGATATTGGAAGAAAATGTTCAATTGGGAATATTAAACTATGGGGTGTAAGTTATAGCATATTCTGGAAGTCATAAAAAATAGTAGAGTCCATAACATTAAAAGTGCACTTGTGGGCTGGGCGCAGTGGCTCAAGGCAAGGCAGGCAGATCACGAGATAAGGAGTTGGAGACCAGTCTGGCCAACATGGTGAAACCCTGTCTCTACTAAAAATACAAAAATTAGGGCTGGGTGCCTTGGCTCACGCCTGTAATCCCAGCACTTTGGGAGGCCGAGGCGGGCAGATCACCTGAGGTCAGCAGTTTGAGACCAGCCTGACCAACATGGTAAAACCCTGTCTCTACTAAAAATACAAAAATTAGCCAGGTGTGGTGGTGCATGCCTGTAATCCCAGCTACTCAGGAGGCTGAAGCAGGAGAATCGCTTGAACTCAGGAGACGGAGGTTGTGGTGAGCCGAGATCGTGGGATTGCACTCCAGCCTAGGCAACAAGAGCGAAACTCCGTCTTTTTTTTTTTTTTTTAAGTGGGGCCAGGCGTGGTGGCTCACGCCTGTAATCCCAGCACTTTGGGAGGCCAAGGCGGGCAGATCACCCGAGGTCGGGAGTTTGAGACCAGTCTGGCCAACATGGTGAAACCTTGTCTCTACTAAAAATACAAAAAGCTGGGCATAGTGGTGGGCGCCTGTAATCCCACCTACTCAGGAGGCTGAGGCAGGAGAATAGCTCGAGCCCGGGAGGCGGAGGTTGCAGTGAGCGGACATCGTGCCAGTGCACTCCAGCCTGGGCGACAAGAGCGAAACTCTGTCTCAAAAAAAAGAAAAAGACAAAAAAAAAAATGTAGTTATGTAGTGATAATGCACCCTGGCAACTATTCTCAGGAATCTGTTGAAAGAGATGCGCCCTGAAAAAGGAGGATAAAACCAAGAAAGAAGACGACACGGGATCCAGGAAATAAGAGATTTAGCACAGAAAGAAAAAGTAAAATAACCCTGTCGATCGTAATCCTAATCCACGGGATTATTTTACTTTTAAGTGTTTAAAGTTAAGGGAAATCCCGGAACTTTCATCTGGGCAGCAGCAGGAAGATGAACAGCTCTAGGGTGATTAAATTAATAGAACAGGTTAGTGGTTGCCTGAGTTTGGGATTAGAAGAGAAGACAATGTAAACAGCCAGGAGGCAAAATTTGGGGGTAATAAAAATCTAAGACTGGGCAGGGCACAGTGGCTCAAGCCTGTAATCTCAGCACTTTGGGAGGCTGAGTCGGGTGGATCACAAGGTCAGGAGTTCAAGACCAGCCTGGCCAAGATGGTGAAACCCCATCTCTACTAAAAATACAAAAATTGGCCGGGCACGGTGGCTCACACCTGTAATCCCAGCACTTTGGCAGGCCAAGGCGGGCAGATCACCTGAGGTCAGGAGTTCGAGACCAGCCTGGCCAACATGGTGAAACCCCATCTCTACTAAAAATACAAAAATTAGCCGGGCGTGGTGGCACGTGCCTGTAGTCCCAGCTATTTGGGAGGCTGAGGCAGGAGAATCACTTGAACCCAGGAGGCAGAGGTTGCGGTGAGCCAAGATCGTGCCACTGCACTCCCACCTGGGCAACAGAGTGAGACTCCGTCTCAAAAACAACAACAACAACAAAAATATATATATATATATAAATTAGCCAGGTGCAGTGGCAAGCGCCTGTAATCCTAGCTACTCGGGAGGCTGAGGCAGAAGAATCGCCTGAACCTGGGAGGTGGAGGTTGCAGTGAGTCGAGATCCCACCATCGCACTCCAGCCTGGGTGACAGAACGAGATTCTGTCTCAAAATAATAATTAAAAAAAATGATGATAAGGAAGGAATAGAGCATATATAGTATAGATGAAATAAGGTTGACAGTGTATTAGTAATTATTGAAACCAGATATTGGGTAATAGGAGTTTATTGTATTCTTCTTTTCTCTTCTTTCTTTTTTTTTTGGGACGGAGTCTCGCTTTGTCACCCAGACTAGAGTGCAGTGACACAATCTCAGCTCACTGCAACCTCCACCTCCTGGGTTCAAGCGATTCTCCTGCCTCAACCTCCCGAGTAGCTGGGAGTACAGGCACGCTCCACCACACACCCGGCTAATTTTTTCTTTTGTATTTTAAGTAGAGACAGGGTTTCACCACGTTGGCCAGGCTTGTCTCGAACTCCTGACCTCAGGTAATCCACCCGCCTCGACCTCCCAAAGTGCTGGGATTACAGAGGTAAGCCACCGCGCCTAGCCTATTGTACTCTTCTTTTACTTTTGTGTATGTTTGAAATTTTGCACTAAAAAAATAGTATCTTTGATCCTTTTATAGTTCATAAGCATGATGATTGGGTTTTTGCACACGTGTAATATGTGCCTCCCTCAAACCATGTTATGACCTCAGCATATTACCTGTCTGATATAAAAATATGTATATATTTTAGAAACAGGGTCTTATTCTCTCACCCAGGCTAGAGTGCACTGGTGCAATCATAGCTCAATGTAACCTTGAACCCCTGGGCCCAAGCAATCTTCCTGAGCAGCTAGGACTACAGGAACCTGCTACCACACCCAAATTTTTTTTTTTTTTTTTTTTTTTTTTTGAGTTAGAGTCTCACTCTGTCACCCAGGCTGGAGTGAAGTGGTATGATCTTGGCTTACTGCAACCTCTCCCTCCTGGATTCAAGCAATTCTCCTGCCTCATCCTCTGTAGTCTCTGGAGTAGCTGGGATTACAGGCGTGCACCACCACACCTGGCTAATTTTTTGTATTTTTTAGTAGAGACAGGGTTTCACCATGTTGGCCAGGCTGGTCTCAAACTCCTGACTTCAAGTAATCCTCCCACCTCGGACTCCCAAAGTGCACGGATTACAGGCATGCACCACCACACCCAGCTCTTCTTCTTTTTTTTTTTTTTTAGTAGACAAGGTCTCAGTATGTTGCCCAGGCTGGTCTCCCGCTCCTGGGCTCAAACAATCCTCCAGCCTTGGCCTCCCAAAGTGCTGGGATTATAGGCATGAGCCACTATGCCTGGTCTTAAATGTGTTAAGTTGTCTTAAGTCTTACGCTACTTTCTCTGCTGGTGGTGCCCACCCAACGGCCATTGGTGACCTCTGAAAATTAATATTTTTGAAAAAAATTATGAGTGTCATGTAAAGAGAACTTGGGTATCAACTTGTAGATGCTACCATTGACCAAAGATGATACAATCTGAGCTTTAATAAAGATAGCAGTTATAATGAATCAAAACCTATTAGTTTAACCCATTAATATAATACTAATAATTTTAAAAATTTGTTGCCTTTGGAGAGTAAGAAGTCAATCTTGAAAGCTGATAAAGGGAGAAATATAAAAATGTATCCTGCCTCTCATATGTGAATTGTACCACTGGGTAACTAAATAGAAGATGATGACAAGTGTCTCTTCCTGAGAATAGTCCACCTAATTTGAAAAAGAATTGCCAGTGTGGTGGCTCACGCCTGTAATCCCAGCACTTTGGGAGGCCGAGGAGGGCAGATCACGAGGTCAGGAGATCTAGACCATCCTGGCTAACACAGTGAAACCCCGTCTCTACTAAAAATACAAAAAATTAGCCGGGCGTGGTGGTGGGCGCCTGTAGTCCCTGCTACTTGGGAGGCTGAGGCAGGAGAATAGCATGAATCTGGGAGGCGGAGCTTGCACTGAGCAGAGATCGTGCCACTGCACTCCAGCCTGGGGAACAAAGCGAGACTGTCTCAAAAAAAAAAAAAAAAAAAAAAGAATTGACAAAATTAGAATACCACTATTTTGCAACTCCCAGTTAATCCATTAATCTTGGCATTAAGTATCAATGGCTGCTAACATAGCAAAAGGGGCAAAAAAAACCAGACTTTAGATAGCTCTTGCTGAAAGAACATAATGCTACCTATAGTCTTACCAAAAGGATCAAACCTCTGATCCAGCTGTCAATTTTTTTTTTTGGGGGGGGTGATGGAGCCTTGCTCTGTCACCTAGCCTGGAAGTACAGTGGCGCAATCTCAGCTCACTGTGACCTCCAACTCCTGGGTTCAAGCGATTCTCCTGCTTCGGCCTCCCAAGTAGCTGGGATTACAGGCTTCTACCACCACACCTGGCTAATTTTTGTATTTTTAGTAGAGACAGGGTTCCACCATGTTGGACCAGGCTGGTCTCAAACTCCTTGCCTCAAGTGATCCGCCAGCCTCAGCCTCCCAAAGTGCTGGGATTACAGGTGTGAGCCACTGTGCCTGGCCCCAGCTGTCGATTTTTTAAAATGAAGATGATAGAATATGTTAAGCTGCACCATGAATTTATAATCAGAAAAACTCAGACTGTGAAAGATTCTACAGATCAAAAACTCAGGTTTTTCAAGACATAAATTTAAGAAAAAAGTATGGGAGGGGAAACTGTGAATTATAAGAAATGGCAAAATGATTTAAATGTTTGTGAACCTCCAAAATTCGTATGTTGAAGTCTTAATACCCCAGTGTGATGGTATTTGGAAGTGAGACCTTTTGGAGGTAATTAGATTTAGATGAGGTTTTGAGGATAGAGTCCTCATAATAGGATTATTGCCCTTATAATGGGAGGGAAAGACTAGAGTCCCTTCTCTCTCTGCCAAGGGAGGATACACTAAGAAGGTGGCCATCTACAAGCCAGGAAGGGAGCCCTCACCAGACAATAAATCTGCTGGCTCCTTGATCTTGGATCTCCCAGCCTCTAGAACTGTAAGAAATTTTTGCTTGTTGATTAAGTTAAAGAGGTTCAGAACGTGCAACCCCGAAACAGACCATTTTGACATACTGATTATTTTGAAGTAAAGAAAAATCAGAACCAGCCAACTCAGTGAAACGTCTTTACCTCCCCAATTGCCTAAAATAAAGTATAAACTTACCCTTTTGCAAAGGAAATTTATACTCACAAAGGAAATTTCTGTTAGTAAAGCTATCTGTACCAGGAAGAGAGCTACTCCAAGACAACTTTTTTCACTTAACAGACTGTTATCTGTGTCAATAAATCCACTGAGAAAGTTTATGTTTTAAGCCTCAGCCTCCCGAGTACCTGGGATTACAGGCATGCGTCACCACACCCGGCAAATTTTGTATTTTTAGTAGAGACAGAGTTTCACCATGTTGTATTTTAGTCTCCACTAAAAATACAAAAATTAGCTGGGCATAGTGGTGCACGCCTGTAATCCTAGCTACTGAAGAGGCTGAGGCATAAGAATTGCTTGAACCTGGGAGGCAGACATTGCAGTGAGCTGAGATCATGCACTCCAGCCTGGGGACAGAGCCAGACTCCAGCTCAAAAAAAATGTTAGTTTTATTCAGTCTATAGTCGTACCGAGGACTATAGACTGAGGTCTACAGCCCAGGAGCTGTCCTTCAGAGTTCTGTCAGACTGCTGCAGCACAGTATTTCAGCCCACTGTTTATATACCTGTGGTGGAGGTTCAGTATGTGCAAAATCACATTAAAGTTTTGGTGCAGGAGTACATCTAGTTATAGATTTCAGAGGCATAATCACTAACCCTATCAGACGTTATCTCATGTGTAGGAAAAGGCACTATATTCCTCCTTTCCTTTCTTTTTTTTTTTTTTTTTGAGACGGAGTCTCGATTTGTTCCCCAGGCTGGAGTGCAGTGGTGCGATCTCGGCTCACTGCAAGCTCCCCTTCCCGGGTTCACGCCATTCTCCTGCCTCAGCCTCCCTAGTAGCTGGGACTACAGGCACCCGCCACCATGCCCAGCTAATTTTTTGTATTTTTTAGTAGAGACGGGGTTTCACCGTGTTAGCCAGGATGGTCTCGATCTCCTGACCTCGTGATCCGCCCTCCTCGGCCTCCCAAAGTGCTGGGATTACAGGCGTGAGCCACTGCGCACGTCCATATTCCTCCTTTAAGCAATATAGTGACTCAGGCAAGAGATGTTGGGGGCTGTGTGCACTATCCTGGTTTGCCTTCAAAGCATCTTTTCAGAGAGCTGCACTTCCTCACAGAGTGAGGGGCTTTGTGAAATTAGATGGCAAGCAGAAATGAGCAAAATGGCTTCTTACCCTTTTTACTTTGTCTCACAATAATTAGAGCACTATGTTTAAATGTCACTTCAAGGAATTATTTTCTCTATGGTTACATTTCTCTCTTTTTACAGTTTAACTTTTTCAAATAATTTTCCATTTTAGGATTTTTTTCTTTCTGATTTAACTCAGTCTTTGAATATGTGAAACAGTTACATGGTTCAAAAGTGAAAGGTTATAAAAATACAAACTCAAAAAGTAATTAATTAATTTAGTTTTTATTTTTCTCACCCTGTCTTATGGTGCTGAAAACTCAACAGTTTAATTGGGGCCAGGCACAGTGGCTCACATCTGTAATTCCAGTACCTTGGGAGGCCCAGGCATGAGGATTTCTTGAGCCCAGGGGTTCAAGGTTACAGTGAACTACGATTGTGCTACTGCACTCCAGCCTGGGTGACAGAGGCAGACTGTGTATCTAACACCCTCCCACACCCAACTTATTTGGGTGAATTATATAGTATGTAAATTATATCCCAGTAAAGCTCTTATTAAAAAAATTAAAGCCGGCCAGACACAGTGGCTCACGCCTGTAATCCCAGCACTTTGGGAGGCCGAGGCGGGCGGAATACCTGAGGTCAGGAGTTTGAGACCAGCCTGGCCAACACGGTGAAACCCCATCTCTACTAAAAATACAAAAAACATAGCCAGGCCTGGTGGCAGGTGCCTGTAATCCCAGCTACTTGGGAGGCTGAGGCAGGAGAATCACTTGAACCTGGGAGGTGGAGGTTGCAGTGAGCCGAGACCGCCCCATTGCACTCCAGCCTGGGCAACAAGAACAAAACTCCAACTCAAAAAAAAAAAAAAGTTAATTAATTAATTAATTAAAAAAAAGCCATGCATATGTGCAAATAAAAATACATAACTTAGGTGGAGTGGCTCATACCTGTAATACCAGCACTTTGGAAGGCAGAGGTCGGAGGATTGCTTGAGGTCAAGAGTTGGAGACGAGCCTGGGCAACAACATGGCGAGACCCTGTCTATATTAAAAAAAAAAAAAAAAAATGAAAGAAAGAAAGGCGAGTGTGGTGTTGTGTGCCTGTGGTCCCAGCTACCTGGGAGGCTGAGGTAGGAGCATTGCTTGAGCCTAGGAGTTTGAGGATGCAGTAAGCTATGATCACACCATTGCACTCCAGCTAGGACAACAGACTGAGACCTTGTCTCTAAAAAAATAATAAAAATAAAGCCAGGCGCGGTGGCTCACGCCTGTAATCCCAGCACTTTGGAAAGCCGAGGCGGGCAGATCACCTGAGGTCAGGAGTTTGAGACCAGCCTGCCCGACATGGCGAAACCCCATCTCTACTAAAAATGCAAAAAACTAGCCAGGCAGGCCCCTGTAATCCCAGCTATTTGGGAGGCTGAGGCAGGAAAATCGCATGAACCCCGGAGGCGGAGGTTGCAGTGAGCTGAGATCACACCACTGCACTCCAGCCTGGGTGACAAGAGTGAAACTCCGTCTCAAAAAAAAAAAAAAAAGAATAAAAATAAAAATAAATTGGTTGATATGGCAGTTAAGACTAAATGGGGTCAGGTGCAGTGACTCACACCTGTAATCCCAGCACTTTGGGAGACTGAGGTGGGAGGATTGTTTGAGCCCAGAAGTTCGTGACCAGCCTGGGCAACATAGCAAGACCCCATCTCTACAAAAATTTTAAAAAATTAGCCAGGGGTGGCCGGGCGTGGGTGGCTCACGCCTTTAATCCCAGCACTTTGGGAGGCCAAGCTGGGCAGATCACCTGAGGACAGGAGTTCAAGACCAGCCTGGTCAACATGGCGAAACCCTGTCTCTACTAAAAATACAAAAATTAGGTTGGCGTGGTAACACATGCCTGCAATCCCAGCTACTCGGGAGACTGAGGCAGGAGAATCACTTGAACCCCGGAGGCGGAGGTTGTAGTGGGTCGAGATCGCGCCATTGCACTCCAGCCTGGGCAACAAGAGTGAAACTCCATCTCAGAAACAAAACGAAACAAAACAGCCAGGGGTGGTGGTCGCTCGCGTCTATGGTCCCAGCTACTCTGGAGGCAGAGGTGGGAGGATCTCTCGAGCCTTGGAGGTGGAGGTTGCAGGGAGCCGAAATCGCTCCACTGCGCTCCAGCCTGAGCGACAAAGCGATACCCTGTCTGAAAGCAAAAAGAAAAAAAAAAGCTAAGTGGACAAACGAGGAAATGGGTAGGGATGAATATAGGCAGACTATAAGTAGCCGAGGAAGGTGGCCTTATTTTCGCACCTATCAATGCTCAGGCTGAGCTCCTGAGGCTAGACCTACCGGCACCCCCCATTCCTACAGGTTCTATAAGGCAAGTCAGGTATTCCACCCTGTAAAAAGCTCTTCTCTCTCCTGCCCCGCTAGACTAGTATCCCCTCCTTAAGGCTCCCAACATCCGAAGCTAAGTTGTTTGTCTGCCTATCATCCAGGAACGCGTCTGAGGGCAGGGAACAAATTTATTCATCGTAATCGAGCCCAGCACTTTGTCTCGCACGCAGCTGACAGCAGAATTTTAAGATAAAGTATTAAATAAATGACAGACCTCTCAAGGCTTCCTGTCTTTCACTAAAAAGCTTCTCTCAGGCCACGCCCCTACCTCCACTCAGGTCAGCCCCTTCCTATTGAAGCCCCGCCCCATCGCCTTCCCCGCCACCTTACACCCCGCCCCTCTCTCTTAAAGCCCTAGGAAGATTACTGGAGTTTGGCGCCAACCGTGTTTTTTTTTTTCCCTTCCAAAGGCGGGAACTAGTTGTGGGCGCTGCGACGTGCTTTGCGTCTGATATGATTGGCCGTAGGCACTCAGTCCCGCCTCCATACCCTGATAGCGCTCTGGTATTGGTGGAGATGCCAGGGAGACCTCGGTGGGCAGAAAGGAACCGGGTTGTCTTGGGCCGGGCAGGGCGGGTAAGTTGTCGTAGGGGCCCGGTCCGTGAGGGACTGCTAAGGAAGAGGCTGCATGGCGCGGTAGTCCCCCGAGTGGAGGTCGGCTGCCCCTGGGAAACCAGAGAGTCGGAGGGAGTCCATCTGGAGCGGCCAAGTAGGTCGGGGAAGGGCCGCGCCTGACGTCTGGCCGCAGGTAGCCACGTTCCCTCCGCCCCCGGTGCAGCTTCAGGGCTTGCACCCTGCGTCCCTCTGTGGTCCTTCGAGAGGGTCTGGGCGGGGACTATGGGTGGGCGCGCCCAGGAATTGTCCCTTCGGCCTCTCGTCCTGCCCCTCCCCCCCACCATCCAGTCTCTCCTTGGAATATACTCTTAAAATCTTTCGGATGGAGTTCTTTGGAGAAATGGGTTTCCTGGAGTGTCAGGTGATCATTGATGTTGATTGTTTCTGAAATGTTTATTTAGGCATCAAACCAACATGCCTAAATAAGTTTTTCATTTCTACAGCGCCTAGATTCATTCCTAGCACATAGTAGGCCCTAACTCAGATGTGAATGTAGGATTCGTAGGAGCTGAGCATTTGTGCTTCAGGCATCAAGTTGTCTTTGACTCTTCGACTCTTCCTTGGTCTTTTTCCATTCTCCACACCTCCAGCAGCAAACCTTTCGCCTCTCCTCAAGGCCTTTCCCCCCCATCTCCCTCAGCGCCTCTTTGACTGGAGGGGGACAGAGGCTTTCATGGCAGGGATTCTCCCATCTCCCTTCCTATCCCCGCTATGCCCTCCAATTATCTTTTCCTGGCGTTCCGTTTTACAAGAGATGGCCTTCTTTCCAAAAACATTTATATTGTATTGAATATTCTTGATTTTGGCCATCTTGCTTTACAGACAGACCTGGGGTCTAATTTCAGCTCTGCCACTTACCAGGTGGTTGCCTTGTGCAAATTTCTTGATCGTCTGTGTTTTCCTCATCTGTAAAATGGGGAAAAGAATAATATGGACCTCATAGAACTCTGGGGAGGATTTAAACTAAGTGAATAATGTATTTAGATCATTTAGGTTAGTGCCTGGAACATAGTAAATGTGCCGTATATGATAGCTTTTGTTAGTATTTGCCCCTTACCTCTTCTTCTGGGGTCTTGCTGTATTAGCCTTTCCCATGAGTGTAAAAATACACTGTCTTCTCTGGCTTTTTCCTGTTTTTCTCTACAAATGCTTGTGTTTTTCTCTAAATTTTATTTTTTGTCTTTTAGCGTCTACATTAAGGACACATTCTCAGTTTCGTAATGATTTTTCTTTTTCTTTTTTCCTTTTTTTTTGAGACTATAGCCCAGGCTGGAGTGCAATGGCAAGATCTCGGCTTACTACAGGTTTGACCTCCTGTGCTCAAGCAATCCTCCCACCTCAGCCTTCCAAGTAGCTGGAACTACAGGTGTGCACCAGCATGCCTGGCTAATTTTTGTATTTTGTAGAGACTGGGTTTTGCCATGTTTCCCAGGCTGGTCTCGAACTCCTAGGCTCAAGTGATCAGACTGCCCTCAGCCTCCCAAAGTACTGGGATTACAAGTGTGAGCCACCCCGCCCAGCCACATTCTCTCAATTTTAAAAAGAAAACTTCCTTCAGACTGCCTATAACGAAAGGCTATGTGATCCTTCTCCTGTCTACTTTGCTTTCACATCTGAATCCATTGGAATTGTCCCAGAAAAGATTATGCATGAGTAAATCTGCTTACAAACTTTTTTTTTTTTTTTTTGAGACGGAGTCTCGCTCTGTCACCCAGGCTGGAGTGCAGTGGCACGATCTCGGCTCACTGCAAGCTCCGCCTCCCGGGTTCATGTCATCCTCTTGCCACAGCCTCCCGAGTAGCTGGGACTACAGGCGCCTGCCACCACGCCTGGCTAATTTTTTGTATTTTTAGTAGAGACGGGTTTCACCCTGTTAGCTAGGATGGTCTAGATCTCCTGACCTTGTGATCCGCCCGCCTCAGCCTCCCAGAGTACTGAGATTACAGGCTTGAGCCACCACGCCCGGCCAAACATTTTTTTTTTAGACAGAGTCTTACTCTGTCACCCAGGCTGGAGTTGCAGTGGCACGATCTCAGATCACTGCAGCCTCCACCTCCCAGGTTCAAGCGATTCTCCTGCCTCGGCCTCCCCAGTAGCTGGGATTACAAGTGTGTGCCACCATGTCAGGCTAATTTTTGTATTTTTAGTATAGATGAGGTTTCACCATGTTGGCCAGGCTGGTTTTGAACTCCTGACTTCAGGTGATCCGCCTGCCTCGGCCTCCCAATACAAACTCTTTTTCAGCATGATAGTTCTCAACTTGGAAAATTTTGCCTCTACACTTTCACAGGTGCATCACTTCTGTCGGTAGCAACTCTCATATATCGAGATCCTCAAATGGGAGAAGGTGAGGAAAAGTGAAAAAGACCCATTTTCCAAGAGATTCTGATACATTTTTCTTCCTCCTCTCCTTCCTCTCCTTCCAGGAGAATCACTGGCCTATATGATTTCAAGAGTGTAATCTCACGTATCACTAAGGTGCTGATGAGTCCCAAATCATAATACCTACCATGCCTTTTCTGTATGACATTTCCAGCTGTTGGACATCTTTTTGTTTTTTGTTTTTTTCTCCCCTAGACGGAGTCTTGCTCTGTTTCCCAGGCTGGAATGCAGTGGCACGATCTCAGCTCACTGCAACCTCTGCCTCCCAGGTTCAAGCGATTCTTCTGGTCTCAGCCTCCGGAGTAGCTGGGATTATAGGCACATGCCACCACGCCCAGCCAATTTTTGTATTTTTAGTAGAGATGGGGTTTCACCATGTTGGCCAGGCTTGTCTCAAACTCCTGAACTCAGGTGATCCACCAGCCTCGGCCTCCCAAAGTGCTGGGATTACAGGCATGAGCCACCACGCCCGGCCTTTTTTTTTTTTCTTTTCTTTTTGAGATGGAGTCTTGCCCTGTCGCCCAGGCTGGAGTGCAATGGCGCGATCTCGGCTCGCTGCAACCTCCGCTTCCCAGGTTCAAGCGATTCTCCTGCCTCAGCCTCCCGAGTGTGGGATTACAGGTGCGCACCACCACGCCCAGCTAATTTTTTTGTATTTTTAGTAGAGACGGGGTTTCACCATGTTGGTCAGGCTGGTCTTGAACTCCTGACCTCGTGATCCACCTGCTTTGGCCTCCCAAAGTGCTGGGATTACAGACATGAGCCACCACCCCCAGCTGCTGTTAGACATCTTTATCTGGATGTCCTACAGATAACTCAACATGACTTCACTGGTTGTCCATTGCAGTTAAAGCATGACTGTCCTCCAAAGCTAGAAACATGAGAATCATCTTTAACAAATTGGGTATTTCTTTAATTCAACAGATATTCTTTTATTACTTGCCATTCTGCTAGGCCTGCTGAGAGCTGGGGATACAGTGAGAGCTGGGGAACAGAACAGGGATGGTCCTAATCTTTATGGAGAACCATTGGGTGGTCCATTGGGTGAGATGGACATTTCTCCAGGAATCCCACAAAAATGGAATCATGAACTTCAAGAAGAGGTCATGTAGGGAAAGGACACAATGGGGTAAGAGTATATAACAGAGGGCCTGACTTAGTGGGAAGAGAGGGTGGACAGGGGAGACTCAAAATGGCTTAAGCAAAATATCAAAGAAGAGCTAAGTGAAAGTAGAATATTGAGGAAAGAATATTCCCTGCAGAAGCCCTGTGTTGTTTTTTTTTTTTTCGATTTATAAATAGTTTATCCTGTTCACATTATGCAGAATTTCAGTGTCGTTAATCCACAATGTTAGTACGGTAACAGAAACATAAAGGAGAAAAAAGGCAGGTGGGGGGAGGTTCATAGTGTGGCCTGACATAGTCTAAGGGTTCTCTCCTGTAGTATGCATCTCCTGCAGGCAAGTATTAATATCACTTCATTGTTTGAAGGACAGTACACTATCCAGGATTCATTTATTGTTCAGGTGTCTTTTCTAAAGTATGAGAAAACAGGAATAAATTCAATAATGAATATCTGCAATTCAAACCAATTTAACTACAGGTCAGTGGTGTCTTTCTTATCTATTATCACAAACATCCCAGTTGCCTCCATCTAAAAATTTCTTTCAAAAGTTAAGACACAATTAATTATATCTTATTAATTCCCTCAAAAGCAAAAAAAAAAAAAAAGTACCATTCAGCATACAAAAGTTACACATTAAAAGTGTATATATAGGGCTGGGTGCGGTAGTGCACGCCTGTGATCCCAGCACTTTGGGAGGCCGAGGCGGGTGGATCATAAGGTCAGGAGTTCAAGACCAGCCTGGCCAAGATGGTGAAACCCTGTCTCTACTAAAAATACAAAAAATTAGCTGGGCGCGGCAGCAGGCCCCTGTAATCCCAGCTACTGAGGAGGCTGAGGCAGGAGAATCGCTTGAACTCGGAGGGCAGAGGTTGCAGTGAGCAGAGATTGTGCCGCTGCCCTCCAGCCTGGGTGACAGAGTGAGACTCTGTCTCAAAAAAAAAAGTGCATATTTCCTTTTTTTTTTGAGATGGAGTCTCTCTTTGTTGCCCAGGCTGGAGTTCAGTGGCATGATCTCGGCTCACTGCAACCTCCTCCTTTCAGGTTCAAGTGATTCTCCTGCCTCACCCTCCCAAGTAGCTGGGATTACAGGTGTGTGCCACCATGTCTGGCCAATTTTTGTATTTTTAGTAGAGATGGCGTTTCACCGTGTTGGCCAGGCTGGTCTCGAACTCCTGAACAAAGTTGATCTGCCCACCTCGGCTTTCCAAAGTGCTGGGATTACAGGCGTGAGCCACTGCGCCTGGCCTCAAAATTTGTTTTTTATCCTGAAATCAGCAGGAAGCACTGAAGGGCTTTTTGGTGGGGTTTTTTTTGTTTTTTGTTTTTTTTCTTTTGAGACGAAGTCTCCTGTCCCCCAGACTGGAGTGCAGTGGCGTGATCTCGGCTAACTGCAGCCTCCGCCTCCCAGCTTCCAGAAATTCTCCTGCCTCAGCCTTCCAGGTAGCTGGAATTATAGGCATGCGCCACCACGGCTGGCTAATTTTCGTATTTTTAGTAGAGATGACGTAGGCTGGTCTCGAACTCCTGACCTCAGGTGATCTCCTGACCTCAGATGATCACCCACCTCAGGTGATCGCCTGCCTCAGCCTCCCAAAGTGCTAGGATTACAGGCGTGAGCCACCACATCCAGCCTAAGCACTGAAGTGTTTAAGCAGAGTTGGGAACACGATCATGTTTGCATTTTTAAAAGACAACTCATGCTGAGGTTTGAAGAACAATTTGAAATGGGGGAAGACTGTCCATTTGAATACACTTTCCATTAAATCTTGTTGACTACCTCTCAGATCTGTTTTTAGTGTTTTGTGGGTTTTTTGGTTTGGTTTTGAGACAGTCTCGCTCTTTGACCCAGGCTGGAGTGCAGCAGTGCAATCACAGCTCACTGCAGCCTCCGGAAGCATGTGCCACCACACCCAGCTAACTTTTCTTTTTTTTGTAGATATGGAGTCTCACTGTGTTGCCCAGGCTGGTCTTGAACTCCTGGGCATAAGAAGTCCTCCTGCCTCAGCCTCCCAGAATGTTGGGATTACAGGCATGAACCACCGTGCCCAGCCAAGATCTGTTTCTTATTTTTATTTCCACTACTAAGAACTTACAGTGACACCTCGTTGTCTTCTGCTTTGTTTTGGTAGCCTTTTCTATCTCCCTTCCCACTCATATTTTCCAGACTCTTGCCAGAGTTAAACATCTAAGATGCAGATTTGATCATTATATTGCCCTACTTTAAAAACCTTCACTGGTTCCCCCATTCCCTTCTGGATGGAATCCAAGTATCTTAATCACATAATACATCCCCTGACCTTTATTTTTTTTTTTTTGAGAGAGTCTCACTGTCACCTAGGCTGGAGTGCAGTGGCACGATCTTGGCTCACTGCAGCCTCGGGGCCTGTGACTTCCTAAACTTTATTCTCACATTCTGATCTTGCCTTCCCATGTTCTATTCTGTAGGTGTTCACACCCATACTTGATTGTGAACTTATAGACAGATGTGGTGGGGAACAGATGTGGGGAGATCGTGTCAAGAAGTGTTCGCCAATGTGAGCCTAATTTAATTGAACCTTGGGATTTTGGAAACCTTGAGATAGTGAATAATGGAGCTAGAATGGTAGGTGTCAGTCTATGTCAGGATAAGGAAGTTTTTTTTTTTTTTTAATGGAGTCTAGCTGTGTGGCACAACCTCGGCTCACTGCAACCTCCCCTTCCTGGGTTCAAGCAATTCTCCTGCCTCAGCCTCCAGCAGTTGGGACTACAGACATGCACCACCATGCCCAGCTAATTTTTTTGTATTTTTAATAGAGGTAGGGTTTCACCATGTTGGCCACGATGGTCTCGATCTCTTGACCTCGTAATCCACCTGCCTTGGCCTCCCAAAGTGCTGGGATTATAGGCATGAGCCACTGCACCCAGTCAGGATAAGGAATTTGTACTTTATAGAAATTGGGAAGTAACGGAAAGTTTTTGAGCAGGATTGCGGTAGAACTAACCCAGTAGTTGTGCGTAGCATGTATTTGGAGTGGGGAAATAATTAGGTAGCTATAGTGGGGTCCTGAAACAAATCGAAATGGCAAGAATGGGAATAAATGGGAGAAATATTTCAGAGGTAGCATCAGTAAATCAGTAGTCTGTTAGGGAATGTTAGTGCTACTCCAAGAAATTAGAGAAATGAGGAGGTGAGCAGATATGGATGGAAAGATGATCTCTTGTTTTGGACTTGGTGAGTTTGTACCTACAGGAATGTGTTTATTAATGTTAGCATTTGTTTGTTTGTCTGTTTTGAGACAAGGTCTCATTCTGTCACTCAGGCTGGAGTGCAGTGACTTGATCTTTGCTCACAGCAATCTCTGCTTCCTGGTTGTGCTTAAGCAATCCTCCCACCTCAGCCTCCTAAGTATGGTTGGGACTATAGGAGTGTGTCACCACGCCTGGCTAATTTTTGTATTTTTTGTAGAGATGGGATTTCGCCATGTTGCCTGGGCTGGTCTCGAACTCCTGGCCTGAAGTGATCCACCCACCTCGGCCTCCCCACAAAGTGCTGGGCCCACAAAGTGCTGGGATTACAGGTGTGAACCACTGAGCCCTGGCACCCAGCCACTAATTTTTTTTTTTTTGAGACAGTCTTGCTCTGTTGCCCAGGCTGGAGTGCAGTGTGACAATCTCGGCTCACTTCAACCTCCGCCTTCCCCACGCTCAAGCAATTCTTGTGCCTGAGCCTCCTAAGTAGCTGAGATTACTGGTGTGCGTCAGCATACCTGGCTAATTTTTTTTATTTTTAGTAGAGACAGGGTTTTACCGTGTTAGCCAGACTGGTCTTGAACTCCTGACTTCAAATCTGCCCGCCTGCCTAGGCTTCCCAAAGTGCTGGGATTTAGGCATGAGCTACCATACTTGGCCACTAATTGTTTTTTTGTTTGTTTGTTTTTGTTTGTTTGAGACAGAGTCTGGCTCTGTCGCCCAGGCTGGAGTGCAGTGGCACAATCTCAGCTCACTGCAACCTCCGCCTCCCAGGTTCATGCCATTCTCCCGCCTCAGCCTCCCAAGTAGCGGGAACTACAGGCGCCCACCACCACACCCGGCTAATTTTGTTTTTGTATTTTTAGTAGAGATGGGGTTTCACCGTGTTAGCCAGGATGGATGGTCTCGATCTCCTGACCTCGTGATCCGCCTGCCTCAGCCTCCCAAAGTGCTGGGATTACAGGCGTAAGCCACCGTGCCCAGCCCACTAATTGGTTTTTTAATGTTAGACATCCTCACATTTTTGGGATAAATCTCACTTGTCTGTAGTGCTTTTTCGTTTAATATCTTGCTGGATTCAGTTGGTTGATTTTTTTTTCTTTGTGACGGAGTCTCGCTCTGTTGCCCAGGCTGGAGAGTGGTGCAATCTTGGCTCGCTGCAACCTCCATCTCCCAGGTTCAAGCTACTCTCCCGCCTCAGCCTCCTGAGTAGCTGGGATAACAGGTGCGTGCTACCATGGCCACCTAATTTTTGTGTTTTTAATAGAGACGGGGTTTCACCATGTTAACCAGGCTGGTCTCGAATTCCTGACGTCAAGCAATCTACCCACCTTGGCCTCCCAAAGTGCTGGGATGACAGGCCGATTTTTTTTTTTAAGGCTATTTCTGTTTATGTTCATAAGAAAGATTGGCTTGTAGTTGTCTGGTCTTGTAGTTTTTTTGTTTTGCCCTATTCTTGACCAGTTTTTTTGTTTGTTTGTTTTTTGTTGTTTTTTGAGACGGAGTCTCACTGTGTCGCCCAGGCTGGAGTGCCGTGGCGCGATCTCGACTCACTGCAACCTCGGCCTCCCAGGTTCATGCCATTCTCCTGCCTCAGCCTCCCGAGTAGCTGGGACTACAGGTGCCTGCCACCACACCCGGCTAATTTTTTTGTATTTTTAATAGAGAAGGGGTTTCACCGTGTTAGCCAGGATGGCCTCGATCTCCTGACATCATGATCCACCCACCTCGGCCTCCCAAAGTGCTGGGATTACAGGCATGAGCCACTGCGCCCGGCCCAACCAGTTTTGAAATTGAGGTTGTATTCGCCTCAAAAAATTATTTGCTTATTCACAAATAGTTTTTTTCTGTTGTCTGGAACAGATTAACTTTTCATTATTATTATTATTATTTTTAGAGACAGAGTCTCATTATGTTGCCCAGGCTGGTCTTGAACTGGGCTCAAATGATCCTCCCGCCTCAACCTCCCAAAGTGCTGGGATTACAAGCACGAGCCACTGTGCCCGGCCTAACTGTTTTAAAATTTGTGGTGTTTGTGCCTTATTTCTTTTTCTTGATTAGTTTTGCCATAGATATGCTTATTTCTCTTTTGACAGAGCCAACATTTATTTTTATTGATCTTTCTAGTGCTTGTTTATTTTTGTTAGTTTTTGCTGGTTATATTTTTATTTATCTGGGTTTACTTTGTTCTTTTTCTGACTTCTTGAGGTGATTGATGGCCTCATTAATATTTTGTCCTTTCTTCCTATACATTTAGTACTGTAACTTTGCCTTTAAAAGTACTATTTTGGTTTTATCCCATGAATTTTCTGTGTTGTATTCATTGTTATTCAGTTCTGTACTTTTTCCCAGTTTCCATTAGTATTTGTTCTTTGACCTATGTTTATTAAGTTCCAATTGAACAGGGAAATTTGAAAGTGCATTGTTAACTTTGAATTTTATTGGGCTAGACGGAAACATTTCTTTGATATTTGTGGAAACTTGCACTGCAGCTTGATACATAGACAATTTTTATAAATGTGCTTAAAAGTAGTGTAAGTTCTTTTAATTGTGGTATGCAGGGTTATAAAATTATCAGATCAAACCTGTCAATTTTCTATTCAGAGCTATATCCTTAAATTTCTTTAACTGCTTGATCATCAGAGAAAAGTATGTTAAAATCTCTATTGTAACAATTTTTTTTTTTTTTGAGACAGAATCGCTGTGTTGCCCAAGCTGGAGTGCAGTGGTGCCATCTCGGCTAACTGCAACCTCTGCCTCCTGGGTTCAAGTGAGTCTCCTGCCTCAGCCTCTGGAATAGCTGGCTTTATTGGCACCCACGACCACGCCCAGCTAATTTTTGTATTTTTAGTAGAGAGGAGGTTTCACTGTGTTGGTCAGGCTGGTCTCGAACTTCTGACCTCAAGCAATCCACCCACCATCCATCCCAAAGTGCTGGGATTACAGGCATAAGCCACTGCGCCCGGCCTATTGTGACTTACTTATCTGTATCGGTCAGGGTCCAGTCAGTAGACAAAAACCACATACTAATTTGAAAGGGAAAGTTTAGTATAAAGAATTATTGGTCGGGTTCCGTGGCTCAGGCCTGTAATCCTAGCACTTTGGGAGGCCAGGGCGGGCGGATCACCTGAGGTCAGAAGTTTAAGATCAGCCTAGCCAACATGGTGAAACCCCGTCTCTACTAAAATACAAAAATTAGCCGGGCATGATGGCGGGTGCCTGTAATCCCAGCTACTCTGTGGAGGCTGAGACGGGAGAATCGCTTGAACCTGGGAGACAGTGTTTGCAGTGAGCCGAGATCGCGCCACTTACTCCAGCCTGGGCGGCTGAGTGAGAGTCCGTCCCAAAAAAAAATTAAAAAAAAAAAAAAAAGGCCAGGCACAGTGGCTCACGTCTGTAATCCCAGCACTTTGGGAGGCCGAGGCGGGCGGATCAGGAGGTCGGGAGATCGAGACCATCCTGGCTAAGGCCGTGAAACCCCATCTGTACTAAAAATATAAAAAATTAGCCGGGCGTGGTGGTGGGCGCCTTTAGTCCCACCTACTCGGGATACTGAGGCAGGAGAATGGCGTGAACCCAGGAGGCGGAGCTTGCAGTGAGCCGAGATTGCGCCACTGCACGCCAGTCTGGGCGACAGAGCGAGACTCCGTCTCAAAAAAAAAAAAAAAAAAAAAGAATTATTGACAGGATTGAAGTAACTAGTAATTGTCAAGTAATAGTTAAAGAATAACTGAAAAATATAGGAATATAAGATATAGGAAGCAGCTATGACCTCTAGGGTTTTGATAGATCATCCAAAGAAGAGCTGTGTTCCTTCACTCTAAGGATGGGATCCAGACCTCATGGAAAGAGCATTGCTGGGGGGTCAACTGGATGGTGGAGACGTTGCTAAGTGTCTTACTCTGTTCTAAATCTGCCAGAGGAGGTGTATGGGGAAGCTCCTGGGTGCTAAAGGATCTATGAGTTGGAGAAGCTGCCCTCTCCATGAACCTAGCAGGAGGAAGCCGTATTCTGCAGGAGCCAATCATAATAGGAGCCTAATGTACAGGAAGTGAGCCTGTGGAAAACCGCCCTGCTGGAACTGAATGCTGGAGACAGCAGGCTCTGTAGGAGCTTTGCTAGCCAGATGCACTGAAACTAGGGAAAGAATCCCCCTTCCTCTTCCAGTGTTCCTCCACCATTCTGCTGATAAGGTTTAACCTTGTGCCAGTTAGCAAAGGAGAAATATCTACAAGGCCTAGCTCCATTATCACAGAAGGATGGATTTGGAATTGAGAGGCATAACTGTCACAGTCCCTTTAACTACTTTTTTCCTTTTCCTACAGCCTAGGAAGCTAAGAACCTTTAACTTTTTCATGTGTACACAGTGAGAAACCACACACATATAACTTCTTTTGATGACTTCTCTATATTACTGTGTATGTTTTCAGAAATTTTGAAGGACTATTAATGCATCATGTGACACAATTAAGAAATGAGCATCCACTTCTTAAATTTATAAATAATCTTTTAAAAAATACCTTTGGTGGTGGGGACCTAGAATTAAGATGTGGAGATAATGATCTGACAAAAAATTTGGAGAAAAATTTAAGACAGATGGGGGCAAAAGATCCATGTTTAGCTGGTCCGAAAGTAGTGTTTTCTCAGTTGGCTGTTCACAATCAGTTACAGATCAAACTTCTTGTTCTACTATTTCCCCCCTTGACTAGTTGTTAAAAAAAAAAGACACCCAGGATTACCAGGTCTCTTAGATTTATATTTATTTCCAGGTTTAACTTACTAGGTCAAGTCTTTTTCTAATTATTATTTTTGAGACACGGTCTGGTCTGTCACTCTGTCGCCCTGGCTGGAGTACAGTGGCATGATCACAGCTCACTGTAGCCTCCACCTCATAGGCTCAATTGACCCTCCCATCTCAGCTACTAAAGTAGATAGTACTATAGGTGTGAACCACCATGCCTCGCTACTTTTTTTTTAAATTTATTTTGTTTAAATAGAGATGGGGTCTCCCTATGTTGCCCAGGCTGGTCTCGAACTCCTGGGCTCAAGTGAACCTACCACCTTGACCTCCCAGAGTGCTGGGATTACAGGTGTGAGGTTTTTTGTTTGTTTTCAAGACAGAGTCTTGCTCAGTCGCCCAGGCTGGCTTGCAGTGGCGCAATCTCAGCTCACTGCAACCTCCACCTCCCGGGTTCAAGTGATTTTCCTGCCTCAGCCTCCCGAGTAGTTGGGATTACACGCACGCCCCACCACTCCTGGCTAATTTTTATATTCTTAGTAGAGACAGGGTTTCACCATGTTGGCCAGGCTGGTCTCAAACTCTTGACCTCATGATCTGCCCACCTCGGCCTCCCAAAGTGCTGGGATTACAGGCATGAGCCACCATGCCCAGCCCGTTTGTTTGTATTTTTTTTTGTCTCGATGTGGTTTTGCCATGTTGCCCAGGCTGGTCTCAAACTCCTAGGATCAAGCAGTCCCTTCCACCTCAGCCTCCCAAAGTGCTGAGATTACAGGTGTGAGTTACCACACCTTTTTTTTTTTTTTAAAGTAATCCCTGCCAGTAGTATAAACTAAAACTGTATGAAATAATAGTGCAGGGAAAGCTTTGATCTGTTTGATCTCTTTAACCAAATCATTAGATTCTCCATTATTCTGAGAGGACACCTCATGACTAATGCTCCCCTCTCCATGTGACCACTTACAGCTACTAATAGTAGATTTCTCATTAGGAAACCTCTGAGTATCTGATTTCACCAGTTGAATTTTGCTTTGCAAAGAGTCAGTTGTGTTATTTACCAAACGTGATCGTGTTATTTGTGCTTTTTGTAATTGTGCAGGCTATTTTATAACAGCTAATCAAATGAACTAATTGAAACAAATGTTAGGTTGAGGAATGTGAGGAATGGAGAAAAAAAATACACCTTGATTTTATTTATCTCTTGTGGTAGAACCATGATCTTTTCTTTGAATATGAATCCAATGATGAGAGTGTTGACGTCTTTCTTGCGTAAACTACACCCGTAAGACATTGCCCATGATTTTCAGTTTTTATTTTGTCCTTGCTTGAGCCCAGGGAGGTTGCAGTGAGCTATGATCATGCCACTGCACTCCAGCCTGGGTGACAGAGGGAGACTCTGTCTTAAAACAAAAACAAAAAAAAAAAAAAAAAACTTACATACTTTTTAATTGATCTGAGTATAGACTAGATTTTCTCCCCTAGTACTTTGGATCATTTTGTCTTCACTTGATTTGACATGCAGAGGTGTGTGTGTGTGTGTGTTTTGTTACCTGTCTTTCCATAGCATTCTGCCTAGTTTTCACTAGAAAATAACTCCCTTTGGTATTGTGATCTTTCATCATACTGTGATTTAGAAAAATAGGAAAATGAGCATAATTGATTTGATAATAAATGCACATTGGTAAGCTTTGAGAAAAACCCAGAATCGTATATAGAAAACCTTCCCCCGAGCTAAGAGGGAGCCAGGAGACCAAAGGATGACTCACAAGTCCAGGTTGGTGAATAGATACATTTACTAGGACTAATAAGTTTATTTATTACAAGGCACTCCTGGATGGCAGCAGGACAGCTGTAGAGATCCATGCTGCCCTTTGTCTGCAAACTATTTTTAAGCTAACTTTCTGGCTCATTGCCTACTGTATTTAAGCCATGAGACTGTTTTTCTTGGTAGGTTCTCAGATACTCCCCGGGATGTTTGGGTTCTCAGGGGTACTTGCTCTTCAGGCTGGCACCATGGCCTTGGCTCACCTCCTGTCCTTCAGGATTCAGGCAGCAGATTAAGCATTGAGATATAAGCATATATCTCAATTGGTGGGAGCAGTAGTATGCAGGTGCAGGCTTGCTAATAATTTCATAGCCCCAAGTGGCCACAGTTCAGTGGCCATAAGCATCATTCATTGGGTTTTACTGGCAGATTAGAGGATGCCAGATAAGTTAGTGAAGAGAGACTTTTTTTTGTGTGTGTGTGTGTATGTGTGAGACAGAGTTTCACTCTTTTTGCCCAGGCTGGAGTGCAGTGGTGTGATCTCGGCTCACTGTAGCCTCCGCCTTCTGGGTTCAAGAGGTTCTCCTGCCTCAGCCGCCCAAGTAGCTGGGATTACAGGCACCTGCCACCACACCCAGCTAATTTTTGTAGTGTTAGTAGAGACGAGGTTTCACCATGTTGGCCAGGCTGATCTCGAGCTCCTGACCTCAAGTAATCCGCCCACCTCGGCCTCCCAAAGTGCTGGGATTACAGGCATGAGCCACTGCGGCCCAGCCTGTTTTTGTTTTTTTACTGTTTTGGATTCTTATGTTGTTTCTAGTCTTACCATAAACAACACTGGTAACAGATTATTAGATGTGAAATTTTTGGGTCAGAGTATTGTACTTAAACATTTCATCAAATTTTTAATCAAATCAAAGCTGTTGCCAAATTGCTTTCATGGAGCTTTTACCAGTGTACACTTGAGAGAGCTATGAGAGTACATCTTTTCCCATACCTTTGTCAACCTAGTGTACTATCAAACTTTTTGTTATTTGCTTGTCTTACTATGTTGTTGGTGAAAACGTGTCAGGAGTCCCCAAAATCACCCCTAAGTTTGATGATTTGCCAGACTTATAGAATTCACTATGTAGTTGTACTTACAGCTATGATTTATTACAATGAAAGGATGCAAAGCACAATCACCAAAGGGAAAAAAGGTCCATGGGGTAAAGTCTAGAGGAAACCAGGTTAAAGTTCCCATGGTTTTGCTCCCAGTGGAGTCATGCACTTATCTGTTTATTCCCCCAGCAACTAGTGATAGCAGGTGTGAAATGCTGTCTACCTGGGAAGCATGTTGGAGACTCAGTGCCTAGGCTCTTTACTGGGGGCTGGTCACATAGGCCACCTCTGCCTGGCATGTACTAAAATTTTAAGACTCCCAGAAGGAAACAGGTGTTTATGATAAACCAAATTGTTTGTATGAACAGTTTAGGCACATTGAGCCACTTTTTATCAGTCTGGAAATTGTGGGAACCCTCCTGAAATTTGAGTTCTTAGACTCCAGCCAAGGGCCTTAGTAAGCAGCCTTTCTAAGGATAAGTAGCCATGCCTGGCTATGCCAACACTTTCCTACACAACATGGCATATCTCATTGTTTTAATTTGTGTTTCCTTAATTATTAAGTCAAACATCTTTTAGTTCCAAAAGCTTTGCTTTTTTTTTTTTTTTTTTTTTTTTTTTGAGATGGAGTCTTGCTCTGTCGCCCAAGCTGGAGTGCAGTGGCGCGATCTCGGCTCACGGCAAGCTCCTCCTCCCAGGTTCACGCCACTCTCCTACCTCAGCCTCCAGAGTAGCTGGGACTACAGGCGCCCGCCACCATGCCTGGCTAATTTTTTGTATTTTTAGTAGAGACGGGGTTTCACCATGTTAGCCAGGGTGGTCTCGATCTCCTGACCTCATGATCTGCCCGCCTCGGCCTCCCGAAGTGCTGGGATTACAGGCGTGAGCCACCGCACCTGGCCTGGTATCAGTATTTCTTGTTAGTATTAATGTGTGTGTGTGTGTGTGTGTGTGTGTGTGTGTGTGTGTGTGTGTGTGTGTTGTGATAGTAGTGATGGTTCTTATTTTAGTACAAAAGTTAATTTGGCCAGGGGCAGTGGCTCATGCTTATAACCCCAGCACTTTGGGAGGCTGAGGCCAGCGGATCACCTGAGGATGGGAGTTCGAGACCAGCCTGACCAACATGGAGAAACCCCATCTCTACTAAAAATACAAAATTAGTTGGGCGTTGTGGTGCGCGCCTGTTATCCCAGCTACTTGGGAGGCTGAGGCAGGATAATCGCTTGAACCCAGGAGGTGGAGGTTGTGGTGAGCCGAGGTTGCACCATTGCACTCTAGCCTGGGCATCAAGAGCGAAACTCCATCTAAAAAAAAAAAGTTAATTTGTATTTTGGTCTGTTTTATAAAATTATCATTTACTCTGTACATAGCTTAATGACAATTTTTTGTTTATTTGTTTTGTTTTTGAGACAGGGTCTCACTCTGTCACCCAGGCTGCAGTGCAGTGGCACTATCGTGGCTTACTGCAACCTCTCCCTGCCAGGCTCAAGCGATCCTCCTGCTTCAGCCACCAAGTAGCTGGGACTACAGGCACAGGCTACTACAGTCGGCTAATTTTTGTATTTTTTGTAGAGATGGGGTTTCACCATGTTGCCCAGGCTGGTCTCAAATTCCTGGGCTCAAGCGATCCACCTGACTTGACCTCCCAAAGTGCTGAGATTGTAGGCATGAGCCACCATGCGTGGCCATATTAACAAGTTTAAAATTTTTGTTTTATAGTTTTGACTTTTTCCTGGAAAATATTAGGCACTTTTTTTGATAACACAAATCTGCTTTTAATAATGTTAGAGAGAAAGGCCAGGCATGGGGGCTTACACCTGTAATTCCAGCACTTTGAGAGGCTGAGGTGGGTGGATTGCTTAAGGCCAGGAGTTCAAGACCAGCCTGGCCAACGTGGCAGACAGGCAAAACCCGGTTTCCACTAAAATTACAAAAATTAGCCAGGCATGGTAGTGCACTCCTGTAATCGCAGCTATGGTACACTCCTGTAATCCCAGCTACTCGGGAGGCTGAGGCACAAGAATCACTTGAACCCAGGAGGCAGAGGTTGCAGTGAGCAGAGATCAAGCCACTGCACTCCAGCCTGGGCGACAGAGTGAGACTTTGTCTCCAAAAACAAAGAATGATAGAGTGAACTTTTTCAATGTGTCCAAATTCGAAAATTGCTTTTTGTTTTGAAGCTAGGTTTATTCTCTGAATTGTGAGGTTTATTTTAACAGTGGAAATTTTAAAATATTTAATACCGTAGGTGGTGACTCTCAAAAGGAAATAGGATCATGGCAGCAGATGATGACAATGGTGATGGAACAAGTTTATTTGATGTCTTTTCTGGTAAGAGCTACATTTAATTGTCTTTCTAATTTCCTTTTTTTTTTTTTATGAGACAGGGTCTCCCCCAGTTGCCCAGGGTGGAGTGCAGTGGCGCCATTAATAGCTCACTATGACTTCAGACTTGGGAGCTCAAGGGATCCTCTCGCCTCAGCCTCCTGAGTAGCTAGGACTACAGGCACATGCCACCACGGCCATCTAATCATTTTATTTTTTGTAGAGAGAAGGTTTCACTGTGTGGTCTAGGCTGGTCTCTAATTCCTGGACTCAAGCGACCCTCCCTTTTTGCCTCCCAAAGTGTTGGGATTACAGGTGTGAGCCACTATGCCTTGCCTAACTTTACTTTTTAAATTACAAAATCATTTACCTATTCTCATTGGAAACACAGTCATTATCAGCCTTTTCCCTCTATACATAAATGAATTAATAAAATAAAATGCCTGGGACATGGGAATGCTTAATAAGTGTGAACTTACTGTATGCTTTCAAGCCTCAGAATGTAGTCAAATTAGTGATTTTACTAATATGAATGATAATGATTTTTATTGTTATACCTAAAAATATATAAGATAGGTTTTTGTTACTCTTGAAGTTAATATTTCTAGTAAATGCAATGATGTTTGTTGTTCAGAAAAAAATTGGGCCAGGTGCAGTGTCTCATTCCTGTAATCCCAATACTTTGGGAAGCCAAGGCGGGCGAATCACGAGGTCAGGAGTTCGACACCAGCCTGACCAACATGGTGAACCCCGTCTCTACTAAAAATGCAAAAATTAGCCGGGCATGGTGGCATGTGCCTGTAATTTCAGCTACTCAAGAGGCTGAGGCAGGAGAATCACTTCAACCCAGGAGGTGGAGGTTGCAGTGAGCTGAGATTGTGCCACTGCACTCTAGCCTAGATGACAGAGCAAGACTGTCTCAAAAAAAAAAAAAAAAATTGATAGTCACAATGGATGATTAGTTTGAAAAAGAGATAACTGTCAATACCTGGTATTAAAATAAGCTCATAAAATAGAATTTCTTTCTTTTTTTTTTTGTTTGAGATTGAGTCTTGCTGTTGTCAGCCTGGGCTGGAGTGCAGTGTCGCAATCTCGGCTCACTGCAACCTCCGTCTCCTGAGTTCCAGCAATTCTCCTGCTTCAGCCTCCTGAGTAGCTGAGATTACAGGTGCCTGCCACCATGTCTGGCTAATTTTTGTATTTTTAGTAGAGACGAGGTTTCACCATGTTGGCCAGGCTCGTCTTGAACTCCTGACCTCAGGTGATCTACCCACCTTGGCCTCCCAAAGTGCTGGAACTACAGGTGTGAGCCACCGTGCCCAGCCCAAAATAGAAATATTTTAAATAATATGCAGAAGGTAAACTTCCAAACACTGACATAACATTATTATCTCTTTCTTTTAATGATAATCATGCTGTGACCTCATTGAATTTGTTGAGATATGGGCATATGTTTATTGACCAGAATAATGATTCCTATGCCATGGAGAGTAAGAAGGACAGTTATAAAACATGTTTAGTAGAATTCCATTTTTGCTTAAAATAATGTTTTAAACAATTCATAGATATGGAAGAGTTCACACCAACTATGGCCATTATAACCATTCTGGGTGGTGTTATTTGGTGTTTATTTTTGCTGATGTAGTTTCAAGTTGTTATTCTGTTATGTAATTCTCTTTGATGTTTTTTCCTTTGAAAAATTTTAAGCCAGGCCGAGTGCGATGGCTCACGCCTGTAATTCTAGCACTTTGGGAGGCTGAGACAGGTGGATCACCTGAGGTCAGGAGTTCAAGACTAGCCTGACCAACATGGTGAAACTCCATCTCTATTAAAAATACAAAAATTAGCGGGGCATGGTGGTGCACGCCTGTAATCCCAGCTACTCAAGAGCCTGAGGCAGGAGAATCGCTTGAACTGGGAGGTGGAGGTTGCAGTGAGCCAAGATCCTGCCATTGCAGTCCAGCCTGGGAGAAGAGCAAAATTCCATCTCAAAGAAAAAAAAAAATTTAAGCCACCAAACTGAAAAATTGGAACTATAATATAATGAACAGCATTATTTGTCACCTAGATTCACAAATGATTAAATTTCATCACGTCTGCAACGATTAAAATTTGAAGGACAAAACTACAATTTAATCTGATTTTCTGGATGCAGCTGTTTTTATTTCTATGTATCACTGTCAAGTTGCTGTCTATACACACACACACACACACACACACACACACACACACACACACACACATTTTTTTTTTTTGAGACAGAGTTTTGCTCTTGTTGCCCAGGCTGGAGTGCAATGGCATGATCTAGGCTCACTGCAACCTCTGCCTCCCAGGTTCAAGGAATTCTACTGTCAGCCTCCTGAGTAGCTGGGATTACAGGAGCGTGCCACCATGCCCGGCTAATTTTTTCGTATTTTTAGTGGAGACGGGGTTTCGCCATATTGGCCAGGCTGGTCTCGAACTCCTGATCTCAGGTGATCCGCCCGCCTTGGTCTCCCAAAGTGCTGGGATTACAGGCGTGAACCACCGCGCCCGGCCAGGTTTGTTTGTTGTTGTTGTTGTTGTTGTTGTTGTTGTTGTTGTTGTTGTTTTGAGTTGGAGTCTCGCTCTGCCGCCCAGGCTGGAGTGCAGTGGCGCAGTCTCGGCTCACTGCAAGCTGTGCCTTCCGGGTTCACGCCATTCTCCTGCCTCAGCCTCCCGAGTAACTGGGACTACAGGCACCCGCCACCACGCCTGGCTAATTTTTTGTATTTTTAGTAGAGACGGGGTTTTACTGTGTTAGCCAGGATGGTCTCGATCTCCTGACCTCGTGGTCTGCCCGCCTCAGCCTCCCAAAGTGCTGGGATTACAGGCATAAACCACCACGCCCAGCCCATATATATATTTTTTAGGCTAATCAAGTGAAGCAGTAGGAAAAGCATGTACATTTTAAAAATAGTCACAGCTACGGTGTACTTTCTGCTTTGTGTCTTGCCTTTTTTTTTTTGAGACGGAGTCTCGCTCTGTCACCCAGGCTGGAGTGCAGCGGTGCTAACTCAGCTTACTGCAACCTCTGCCTCCCGAGTTCAAGTGATTCTCCTACCTCAGCCTCCAGAGTAGCTGAGATTACAGGTGTGCGCCACTATGCCCGGCTAAGTTTTGTATTTTTAGTAGAGACGGCGCTTCACCATGTTGGCCAGGCTGTTCTCAAACTCCTGACCTCAGGTGATCCGCCTGTCTTGGCCTCTCAAAGTGTTGGGATTACAGGCATGAGCCACTGCGTCCAGCCTAGACTCTCTCTTTGTAAACACACACACACACACACACACACACACGTCTAGATGCACACCCATTTTTTTTCCTGACCCATTTGAGAGTAAGTTGTATACATTATGGCCCCTTACCCCTAAGTATTTCAGTATGTATTTCATAAGGAAAAGTTGGTTCTCTTATATAACCACAGTGTAATTTCAGTTTCATTAGATTTAACACTGATAAAATACTTTTGTATTTGATTTGCTATTTTTATTCCAGCGAATGATGTTCTTTATTATTGTAGTTGGATTTAGGTCATTTTAATATTTGACTTCAATTTTTCTCATCAGTTATTTTTTTCTGATTTTCTTTCAAATATTATTTGAGTATATATTTATTTACTTATTTTAAATTTTTAAATTTTTTTTCTCCCTTTAGCACTAGTGCTAACTGCTAGTAATGTTTGAGTGTATTTTTGAAATGCATTTCATTTATGTATGAGCTTTTTCACTATACCTGTTTGTATTATTTTTAGTATTTGTTTGAGGAAGTGTATACATCTTTAACATTTTGTAGTCTGTTTACTAGTATTGTACCTTTTTACAATATCTTGCATGTATGGTTGCATCTATCTGCTTCTTTGCCTTTCATGTTAGAACCCCACAATAAAATGCTATAGTGTTTACTGGGCCGGGCGTGGTGTCTCACACCTGTAATCCCAGCACTTTGGGAGACCGAGGCGGGTGGATTGCCTGAGCACAGGAGTTCGAGACCAACCTGTGCAACACGGTGAAACCCCGTCTCTACCAAAATACAAAAAATTAGCCAGGTGTGGCGGTGTGTGCCTGTAGTCTCAGCTGCTTGGGAGGCTGAGGCAGGAGAATTGCTTGGACCTGGGAGGCGGAAGGCAGAGGTTGCAGTGAGCCGAGATCGCACCACTGCACTCCATCCTGGGCGACAGAGCGAGACTCTGTCTCACAAAAACCAAAAAAAAAACCCAAAAAAAACAAAAAAACAAAAACAAAACAAAACAAAAAAAATGCTATAGTGTTTACTGTAACAGTTCTATGGATCTTAAATTAAGAAGAAAAATTAGTCTTTTACGATTACTCATTTATTTACCATCTCCAGTCCTAGCATTCTTTGGTATCCCTCTAGTAGCAGTTTCCCCCCATTCTCTATTTGCTTCTGGACTCCACATATACACTATGTGAGGACTTTTGATATTATCATGTAGGTCACTAAGACTCTGTTCTTTTTTAAGAAAGTGCTCTCTCATCTACAGATTGGGTAATTTCTGTTGATCTGTCTTCAAGTTCAGTGGTTCTCCTGTCAAGCACATCCAGTAATTTTTTATATTAGATATTGTAATCTTCAGTTGTAGGTTTTTCATTTGGTTCTTTTTCATTGTTTCTGAGATTTTCTATGTAGTAAGTTTGTGTTTGTCTGTGTGGTTTTTTTGGAGACAAGTTCTTTCTCTGTCAGCCAGGCTGGAGTGTAGTGGCATGAACATGGCTCACTTCAGCCTCGACCTCCTGGGTTCAAGTCATCCTCCTGCCTCAGTCTCCTGAGTAGCTGGGACTACAGGCATCTGCCACCATGCTCAGCTAATTTTCTTTTAATTTTTTTTGTAGAGACAGAGTCTCACCATGTTACCTAGGCTGGTCTCGAACTCATGGGCTCAAGCAGTCCTCTGGCCTTGGCCTCCCAAAGTGCTGGGATTACAGGTGTGACTCACTGCACCTGGCCACCATGTAGTAACTTTGGATTGAATAGTCAACATTGTAAATGAAATGTTAGACACTGGATGCTGTTAACATTCCTCTGAAGAGTTGTTTTTAATTTTAGCAGATATTTAACTTAGCTGAACTTACAATTCGGTCTCTTCTGTAATAGCAACTGAAATCTCTATTTTAGATTTAGCTGGCTTTTTGGAGTTCTACCCTTTTTTGAGGGTCACCCAGAGATTTGGGCAGAATTTAAGTAATGCTCTTTGTGGATTTCTGTAATTCCCCTTTCATGTACTAGTCACTGTTATCATGACAAATTCTTTTCTCCGGTTCTTCAAGCTACTAGGACTGGAGGTTTCTATCTTGAGTTGTCACTGCCCAGTGTAGCTACAACTAGGGCCTGTCTTTATACAAAAAGCAGTAATAAAAGGGGACAGGGAGCTTGGGAGGTGCTATTTTCTTTCAGTTGTCATTACCCTTTTAGTTTTTGCCTGCTTTAGGTTGTTCTCTAGCTCTTTAGATAGCTTCACATATTTTATTTAGTGTCAACAGTAGTTGCCTGCAGGAGGATTGGTTTCATAGAAACTACTCTGCTATAACTGGAATTGGAACTCTTTCAGTAGAATATATATATATGAGACAGGATCTCGCACTGTCACCCAGGCTGGAGTGCAGTGGCATAATCATGGCTCGCTGCAGCCTTGACCTTCTGGGCTCAAGCAGTCCACCTTAGCCTCCCATGTGCCACCACACCTGGCTAATTTTTATTTTTGATATGCTATGTTGTCCAGGCTGGTCTTGATCTCCTGAGCTTAAGCAATCCTCTCTCCTCAGACTCCTAAAGTCGGGGGATTACAGGTGTGAGCCACTGCACCTGGCCTCACTAGTATATTTTTGAAACTGAATTTTTAAAGTCTGTATCTGAGGTAGTCAATAAATAAATCAGTGTGCCAAAATCTTCCTGTTTATAACTATGTGTAGAGACAATGTCTGTCTGTGTCTCTCTCTCCCTGTCTCTCTTTAATTTGAGACATGGTCTCACTCTGAAATCCAGGCTAGAGTGCAGGGGCACGATCTTGGCTCACTGCAACCTCCACCTCCCGGGTTCAAGCAATTGTCGTGCCTCAATCTCCCTAGTAGCTGGGATTACAGGCATGCACCACCACTCCTGGCTAATTTTTGTATTTTTAGTAGAGACAGAGTTTCACCGTGTTGTCCAGGCTGGTCTCCAACTCCTGGGTTGAAAAGTGATCTGCCTACCTCGGCCTCCCAAAGTGCTGGGATTACAGGCGGGAGCGACCATGCCCGGCCTTTTTTTGTATTTTTAGTAGAGATGAGGTTTCGCCCCGTTGCCCAGGCTAGTCTTGAAATCCTGAGCTTAAGCGATCCACCTGCCTCAGCCTCCCTAAGTGCTGAGTTTACAGGCGTGAGCCACCATGCCTGGCTTATCTCTTATTTAAAGCAAAACTGTTAAATCTCATTCTTTTCCTGGTCCTTTAGTGTAGGAATGGAAAAATCTCAGTGCCTAAAGTCATTTTTAACTAATCTTTGCCTTTCTTGCAGCTTCTCCTCTTAAGAACAATGATGAAGGCTCACTGGACATATACGCTGGGTTGGACAGTGCTGTTTCTGGTATGTGAATTCCATAAAAATAGTTTCATTTTCTTGGTCAGTTCATTGTTTTGTGGTTACTAAATCCTGGTATATCATAGCTCCTAAAGAATTTGCTCATTCTTTGTAATTACACTGAGGTAATTCTTTTCTTTCTTTTCCCCCACAGTAACTTCCAGAACCCAATCTTAACCAAAGCTTGATCAGAAAAACAAATTAGCACACAGGTTTTTTATTCATCTCAGTCTCAGATTTAATTGAGCCTTGTGCAAAAACATTTTCTACTATTGAAGTGCAACTAGTGCTGGTGTCTGTTACTACTCACTCATACTCTTTTTTTTTTTTTTTTTTTTTGAGACGGAGTCTCACACTGTCGCCCAGGCTGGAATGCAGTGGCTTGATCTCGGCTCACTGCAACCTCCGCCTCCTGGGTTCAAGTGGTTCTCCTGCCTCAGCCTCCCAAGTAGCTGGGACTACAGGCACGTGCCACCACACCCGGCTAATTTTTTGTATTTTTAGTAGAGACAAGGTTTCACCATGTTAGCCTGGATGGTCTCGATCTCCTGACCTCGTGATCCGCCCACCTCAGCCTCCCAAAGTGCTGGGATTACAGGCATAAGTCACCACACCTGGCCGCACTCATACTCTTGAAGGTTATATGATATTAGAACATTTGAAAAGTGTAAGTTACTATAAATATTTTTAAACGTATCAGTAAGAGTGATATGCTGAGAATCTAATGACCTATTCAAATTAGAAACCTTTTCCATAATCAGATTTCTCAGAGTTTTGAACAGTTATGATCTTCATACCTAATTTGGTTGACACAACCATTTTAGGTAAATTGGTAGTCCATCTGTAAAATCAGTATAAATTTGGAATGTAGGATAAGTGAAATGTAGGATGAAGTATGGGAGATGGAGAAATGTATAATCTTTGAAGTAGATAAAATATCAAAAAGTGTAACAAGGCTGGGCGCGGTAGCTCACGCCTGTAATCCCAGCACTTTGCAAGGCCGAGGCGGGCGGATCCCCTGAGGTCAGGAGTTGGAGACCAGCCTGGCCAACATAGTGAAAACTCGTCTCTACTACAAATACAAAAAAAATTACCTGGGCATGGTGGCACGTGCCTATAGTCCCAGCTACTCAGGGAGGCTGAGGCAGAAGAATCGCTTGAACCCAGGAGGCGGAGGTTGCAGTGAGCCAAGATAGCGCCACTGCGCTCCAGCCTGGGTGACAGAGGGAGACTCCTAAAAAAAAAAGGTGTGACAAATATTTTCACTTTGTGAGGCCAAGGCGGGTGGATTTCTTGAGGTCAGGAGTTCGAGACCAGCCTGGCCAACATGGTGAAACACCATCTCACCATCTCTACTAAAAATACAAAAATTAGTGGGGCGTGGTGGCGTGCACCTGTAATCCCAGCTACTCGGGAGGCTGACGCATGAGAATGGCTTGAACCTGGGAGGGTGAGGCTACAGTGAGCCAAGATTTGCACCACTGCCACTGCACTCTAGCATGGGTGACAGAACGAGACTCAAAAAAACAAAAGAAAAAAGTGTAACAAGTATTTTTATGGAAGGTTTTTTTTGTTTGTTTGTTTTTAGACAGCGCTTCCAAATCCTGTGTACCATCAAGAAATTGTTTGGACTTATATGAAGAGATCCTGACTGAAGAAGGAACTGCAAAGGAGGCAACATATAATGATGTATGGGTTGCCACAATTATTAAGGACAGTTATTTACTGTTTTGTAGCTTCTGAAGAGCAGTCAGCTGCTTAGTTTTGAACAGATATTTTGTTTAGGAACTTAGCTCTTAGACTAACAAATATTTAAGTCAGTTTTTGTCTTCAGACCTGTTTTTTAAAGGAATGTTTTCTGAATACTTGTCTAAATTTAGTTATAATTTTGCTTGACCCAATTTAAGCATCTGAATATAAAACCTCAACAGGCAAACAGTGTTACAACATTTTTTCTTTCATGATATGTACAAAGTTAAATTATATGTTGCATAAAATGTCCTCAGACTTCTATTTCTTTCTACTATATTTGAATTTTAAGGTTTGGATGTTGAATGTGAAACTAAACAAAATAGATTATTTGTAGGCTTAACTTTAAAACTGGTTATCTTTCTGGTAGAAGTAGACCTCATCTGCCTTCTTAGTGAATTGATTTGCAAAATTTAAAATATTTAGAAATGCCAGTTAAGCTAAGAAAATAATTTTGAATGATACTTCAATTAATCCTTTTATATTTTATAGTTGCAAGTAGAATATGGAAAATGTCAACTACAAATGAAAGAGCTGATGAAAAAATTTAAAGAAATACAGACACAGGTAGAGTATAAATGAAAACATAAAAAACAAATTACCAGGCACAGTGACTCACACCAGTAATTTCAGCACTTTGAGAGGCAGAGGTGAGAGGATTGCTTGAGGCCAGGAGTTTGAGCCCAGCCTTAGCAAGGTAGCGAAACCTCATCTCTACAAAAAAATAAAACAATTAGCTGTGTATGGCCCCCTGTAGTCCTAGCTACTTAGGAGGCTGAGGAGGGAGGACTCTTGAACTCAGGAGTTTGAAGTTAAAGTGAGCTGTGATTGTGCCACTGCACTCCAGCCTGGGTGACAGAGCAAGACCCTGTCACTTAAAAAAAGTAAAACAACAAAAAAAAAGTTGTTATAAATAGAAATTAAAATGTTAAAGTGTTGACAGTTTATAAGGAAGCTTTCTTTTAGTATTAAATGAAATAGCAAATGTGGCAAGTATGCATTATTTCCTGAGTTGATGAAATTGAATGAAATAGCAAATGTGGCAAATATGCATTATTTTCCGAGTTGATGAAACTGATAAAGGAAAACGGCTTGATTTATTAAATGACATTGATTATAAAGGGTCTGTTAGACTTAGGCCAATTAATAGTTAATTAATAGAAAATTGTGGAGATGATGACAACTGGTTTAAAAGAATGGTTTTGAGGAGCAAAGATACGGGTTTAAAATGGCTCTTGGGGGACACTGTTGATGCCTTCACAGCTTTTGCCAAAATGACCTATTTTGTGACTGTGCTGCAAAAATCAGGAATGTCATGTCCTGTTCTAGTTTTTACTTTTTGGTAAAATTGTATCTCTTCCTTCTCTTCCCCCTGAAAGAACCAGTGAACTCTCAATTCTTTCTTTGTTTATCTGGGGACTAATACATCTTTTTTTTTTTTCTGATGGAGCCTTGCGCTTCGCCAGGCTGGAGTGCAGTGGCACGATCTCGGCTTACTGCAACCTCCAGCTCACTGCAACCTCCGCCTCTCAGGCTCAAGCGGTTCTCCTGCCTCAGCCTCCCAAGTAGCTGGGATTACAGGCACCCACCATGACACCTGGCTAATTTTTGTATTTTTAGTAGAGACAGGGTTTTGGCCTGTTGGCCAGGCTGGTCTTGAGCTCCTGACTTTAGGTGATCCACCTGCCTCGGCCTCCCAAAGTGCTGGGATTACAGGCGTGAGCCACCATGCCCAGACTGGACTAATACATCTTTGCAAGTTTAACCAAAGCTGTTAAATTATAACCTAATTCTTACCATTTTTATTTTCAATTTTCAAGATCATGACCCAGGCAGAACTTACTTTTTCTGCTGTTCATTGGTTTTTCATTTCAATCTCTGTTTTAAGTAGTTTCACTTTAAGTGGGACTATTTCTGGTGCCAGTTATCTTCTCATAGTCTCAGCTTCCCCACCTGTATAAGGGGGATAAATAGTACTCCTCATAGGGCTTATAAATGTATGATGCCTGCATGTAGTTAACATTCAATAATTATCAGCTAATGTATGTAGTAGTATTAGTAACCCTATAGGTATGTACTTTATTAATATAGTTTGTGGTGTTTTAGAATTTCAGCTTAATAAACGAAAACCAGTCTCTTAAGAAGAATATTTCAGCACTTATCAAAACTGCCAGAGTGGAAATAAACCGCAAGGATGAAGAAATAAGTAATCTTCACCAAAGGTATTACTGAGCGGTGTAGCTGTTATAAATTACGTGGGTATTGATATGTGGAATATTTTTAACTTTTAGAGGAAAGATGAAAATAATGTATTTTTATTTTTTATTTTTTAATTTTTTTTTTTTTTTAGAGACAGGGTCTCATTTTGTCACCCAGGCTGGAATGCAGTGGTGTAATTATAACTCAATGCAGCCTCCACCTCCTGGGCTCAAGAGATCCTCCTTCCTCAGCCTTCCAAGTAGCTGAGATAACAGGTGCACAACACCATGTCTGCCTAATTTTTTTATTTTTTATTTTTGGTGGAGACAGGGTCTCACTATGTAGCCCACACTGGTCTTGAACTCAAGGCCTCAAGTGATCCTCCTGCCTCTGCCTCCTGAAGTGTTGGGATTATAAGGGTGAGCCACCATGCTTGGCCCATATGTGATTATTAATAGAACATTGTGGCCAGGCGCAGTGGCTCGTACCTGTAATCCCAGCACTTTGGGAGGCTGAAGGGGACAGATCACTTGAGCTCAAGAGTTCGAAACCAGCCTGGCCAACAGGGTGAAACCCTGTCTCTACTAAAAATACAAAAATTTGGCTGGGCATGGTGGCTCATGCCTGTAATCCTAGCACTTTGGGAGGCCGAGGCGGGCAGATCACCTGAGGTCAGGAGTTCGAGACCAGCCTGACCAACATGGTGAAACCCCATCTCTACTAAAAAAAAAAAAAAAAAAATACAAAATTAGCTGGACATGGTGGCGCATACCCAGCATCACAGCCACTCGGGAGGCTGAGGCAGGAGAATCTCTTGAACCCAGGAGGCAGAGGTTGCCGAGATTGTGCCATTGCACTCCAGCCTGGGCAACAAGAGTGAAACTCCATCTCAAAAAAAAAAAAAATATTAGCCAGGCATGGTGGTGGGTGCCTGTGGTGGGTGCCTGTAATTCCACCTACTTGGGAGGCTGAGGCAGGAGAATTGCTTGAACCTGGGATGACGCAGAGGTTGCAGTGAGCTGAGATCATACCACTGCATTCCATCCTTGGTGACAGCAAGACTCCATCTCAAAAAAAAAAAAAAAAGGAAGCAAATAAAAATAGAACATTGCCACATATTTATCTGAATATATTTAGTTTCCTAAAACACTGAGTTCTTGCTCTAATACTGTTTGCCCTGATGAGATGATGGTATATATGTCATGGGTTCTTCTAGGTCCCCACTAAATTACTAAAATATCAAGAGGGCATCTGTGCTCATATACCCTATTAATAAACAGCCCTTATACTATCTCTCAATTGTATATTCTTTTCTTTCTCAAGGGGATTTTCTCCATTAATTTCTCTCTTTTATTGGTTGGAGGCAATATTTTGCTCCAGAGAGGTTCATATTTTCATAGCCTAACCTCTGAAAAAGTTGTCTAAACTTGTAAACTTGTTTTCATTTTCTTTCTTTCTGCTAACTCACTTTTTATTTTTTTTAAGATGGAGTCTCACTCTGTCGCCAGGCTGGAGTGCAGTGGCGCGATCTTGGCTCACTGCAACCTCCCCCTCCTGGGTTTAAGCAATTCTCCTGCCTCAGCCTCCTGAGTAGCTGGGACTACAGGCACGCGCCACCATGCCTGGCTAATTTTTGTATTTTTAGTAGAGATGGGGTTTCACCATGTTGGCCAGGGTGGTCTTGATCTCTTGACCTCATGATCCGCCTGCCTCAAGCCTCCCAAAGTGCTGGGATTACAGGCGTGAGCCACTGTGCCCGGCCATTTTTTTTTTTTTTTTTTTTTTTGACAGAGCCTCACTCTGTCGCCCAGGCTGGAGTGCAATGGTGCAATCTCACCTCACCGCAACCTTCGCCTCCCAGGTTCAAGCGATTCTGCCTCCTGAGTAGCTGGGATTACAGGCGCTCGCCACCACACCCGGCTAGTTAAAAAAAAATTTTTTTATTTTTTGAGATGGAGTCTCGCTCTGTTGCCCAGGCTGGAGTGCAGTGGCGTGATCTTGGCTCACTCCAACCTCCGCCTCCTAGGTTCAAGCGTTCTCCTGCCTCAGCCTCCCGAGTAGCTGGGATTACAGGCACCCGCCACCACGCTGGCTAATTTTTGTATTTTTAGTAGAGACGGGGTTTCACCATGTTGGTCAGGCTGGTCTCGAACTGCTGACCTCAGGTGACCCACCTACCTCGGCCTCCCAATGTGCTGGGATCACAGGCATGAGCCACCGCACTCAGCCTACACCCAGCTAATATTTTTGTATTTTTAGTAGACACGGGGTTTCACCATGTTGGTCAGGCTGGTCTTGAACTCCTGACCTCAGGTGAGCCACCCACCTTGGCCTCCCAAAGTGCTGGGATTTCAGGCGTGAGCCACTGTGCCCAGACTTTTTTTTTTTTTTGGCAGAGTCTTGCTCTGTTGCCCAGGCTGGAGTGCAGTGGTGTGATCTCAGCTCATTGCAACCTTTGCCTGCTGGGTTCAAGCGATCCTCCCACCTCAGTCTCCCGAGTAGCTGGGATTACAGGCATGCACCACCTGTAAAAAAAAATTTAAAAAAAAAAAAAGATTTTTTTGTATTTTTAGTAGACGGGGTTTCACCATTTTGGCCAGGCTGGTCTCAAACTCCTGATCTCAAGTGATCTGCCCGCCTGGCCCTCCAAAGTACTGGGATTACAGGTATGAGCCACTGCACCCAGCTTCAAGGGTGTTCCTTTTGTGGTTAGTGCTTTTCGTGTTTACATTTCCCCAATGATCTCAAAGGTATCTACCAACAGTTGGTCGGTTGAGTCAGTATCTATATTAGTTTCCTAGGCTTAGTGTAACAAAACTACCAGAAATGGGTGGCCTAAACAACCAAAATTTGTCTCACAGTCCTGGAGGCTAGAAGTCCAAAATGAAAGTGTCAGCAAAGTTAGTTTCTTTTGAGAGCTCTGAAGGAAGGATCTGATTCAGGCCTCTGTACTCTTAGATGGTTGTCTACTTCCTATGTCTCTTTATATCCTCTTTCTAAATGTATCTCTGTGTCCAAATTTCCCCCTTTTTATAAGAACACCAGTAATATTGCATGCCCACCTTGAGGACATCACTTTAACTTGATTATTTCTGTAAAGACCCTTTAAATAAGGTCATATTCTGAAGAACAATGGGTTAGAACTTCAAATTATGAATTTGGTCAGGAGAGGGGACACAATCCATAACAGGGTTCATATGAGGCTTACATATTGTTTTAGGTTGTGTGTTTTTCTAATCCTCTCTTATAACAATCTGCCTATATTTCTGAGTTTTTTAAGTTTTGGGTTTTTCTACACATTTGCTACTGATTAGAAAAAGATATATGAAATTTCAGAGAAATTATGGAATTTCTGGAAGATGAAGTTATTACCAGAAGCCAATATAGGCCAGGCACAGTGGCTCACGCCTGTAACCCCAGTACTTTGGGAGGCGAAGGCAGGAGAATTGCTTGAGTCCAGGAGTTTGAGACCAGCCTGCGCAGCATAGTGAGATCCCATCTCTACGAAAAATTAAAAATTAGCTGGGCATGGTGGCTTGTACCTGTAGTCCCAGCTACTTGGAAGGTTGAAGTGAGAGGATTGCTTGAGCCTAGGACATCAAGGCTGCAGTGAGCCATGATCATTCCGCTGTACTCAGCCTGGGTGAAAGAGGGAGACCCTGTCTCAAAAAAAAAAAAAAAAAAAAAAAAAGCTAAATTGAGCTATCTACATTTTATTGCTAGGAAACCTACCAGTTTTTTTAAACACTAATATAAAACCTTAAGACTTAGATTTTTGTTTGTTTTAAACAGTAAATATATACCATTCTCCTAGGAAAGAATTACAACTCTTTATTCCTTTTTACTTTGCGTAGTATATAACATCTTAAGATGGCCTTTGGTGCTTTGGCTTGCTGTGGGATTGTATGTGAAACAGAAAACTAGGATAGAGAATTATGTAGAGTTTTACTTTGTTCATGTCTGTTGTTTAGCAAGATTTTACTTTTCCTTGTGTTTCAGTTGAGCTAGAATGAATAAGGCAAGAAAATAATGTCACTTGTTCTAAAAGAAGTGAACTTGTGGTTAGCTGGGGAGTTATGCACTGTAGTGAAGTAAGTCTAAGAGCCATTGGCAAGTATTGGGATAGATCCTCAGGTCCTCAAAACTTATTTGAGCAAGGCACATGAAAGAGAATTTCATGTTTTAAAAACAGGCTAATTTAGTTGGAAGCTGGTAATTTCTTTTTCTTCTTTTTTTTAGGGACAGGGTCTCACTTCGTTCTGTCACCCAGGCTGGAGTGCAATAGCGCAATCATGGCTCATTGCAGCCTCAACCTCCTGGTCTTAAGTGATCCTCCCACCTCAGCCTTCCGAGTAGCTAGGACCACAGGCATGTACCACTATGCCTGGCTAATTAAAACAAAAAATTTTTTTAGAGACAGGATGTCACCATGTTGCCCAGGCTGATCATGAACTCCTGGGCTCAAACAAATGATCCTCCCGCCTTGTCCTCCTCAAGTGCTGATATTAGAGGCATGAGCCACCACATCTGGCCAAAGCTGGTAATTTCTTTCTCAACCAGGAGGTTGAGGCTGAGACAGAGTCTTGCCCTGTCACCCAGGCTGGAATACAGTGGCGCAGTCTCGGCTCACTGCAACCTCCACCTCCCAGGTTCAAGCAATTCTCCTGCTTCAGCTCCCAAGTAGCTGGGATTACAGGTGCCTGCCACCACGCTTGGCTAATTTTTTTGTATTTTTGGTAGAGACGGGGTTTCGCCATGTTGGCCAGGCTGGTCTCAAACTCCTGACCTCAAGTGATCTACCTGCCTCGGCCTCTCAAAGTGCTGGGATTATAGGCATGAGCTACCATGCCTGGCCAAAGCTGGTAATTTCTTAATCATGAATTACTCATGTGAATGAAGTTTGGAATATTGCTAAATATAATTTAACTTTTTTTTTTATTTCATAATAGATTGTCTGAGTTTCCACATTTTCGAAATAATCATAAAACTGCAAGGACATTTGATACAGTTAAAACAAAAGATCTTAAATCTAGATCTCCACATTTGGATGATTGTTCAAAGACTGATCACAGAGCTAAAAGTGATGTTTCTAAAGATGTACATCATAGCACTTCACTGCCAAATCTGGAAAAGGAAGGAAAACCACATTCTGATAAAAGGAGTACTTCACATTTACCTACATCTGTTGAGAAACACTGCACTAATGGTGTTTGGTCACGTTCTCATTATCAGGTTGGCGAGGGTAGCTCAAATGAGGATAGTAGAAGAGGAAGAAAAGATATTAGACATAGCCAGTTTAACAGAGGAACTGAAAGAGTACGAAAAGACTTAAGTACTGGCTGTGGTGATGGTGAACCAAGGATATTGGAGGCTAGTCAAAGGCTACAAGGACATCCTGAGAAATATGGTAAAGGTGAACCAAAGACTGAAAGCAAAAGTTCGAAGTTTAAAAGTAACTCAGATTCTGACTATAAAGGTGAACGCATTAACTCTTCTTGGGAGAAAGAGACCCCTGGAGAAAGGTCACACAGTCGAGTAGACTCTCAAAGTGACAAAAAACTAGAAAGACAAAGTGAAAGATCACAAAATATAAATAGGAAAGAAGTTAAATCACAAGACAAAGAAGAAAGAAAAGTTGATCAAAAACCTAAATCAGTAGTAAAGGACCAAGATCACTGGAGAAGATCTGAACGAGCATCACTTCCTCATTCCAAGAATGAAATAACATTTTCTCATAATTCAAGTAAATACCATCTAGAAGAGAGAAGAGGATGGGAAGATTGTAAAAGAGACAAGAGTGTAAACAGTCATAGTTTTCAAGATGGAAGATGTCCATCTTCTCTTTCAAACAGTAGAACTCACAAAAACATTGACTCTAAGGAAGTTGATGCCATGCATCAGTGGGAAAATACACCTTTAAAAGCAGAAAGACATAGAACTGAAGATAAGAGGAAAAGAGAACAAGAAAGCAAAGAAGAAAATAGGCATATTAGAAATGAAAAAAGAGTACCTACAGAACATTTGCAGAAGACTAATAAGGAAACTAAGAAAACCACTACTGATTTAAAGAAACAGAATGAACCAAAGACTGATAAGGGAGAAGTCCTTGATAATGGTGTTTCTGAAGGAGCAGATAATAAAGAGCTTGCAATGAAAGCTGAGAGTGGTCCAAATGAAACAAAAAACAAGGACCTAAAATTGAGTTTTATGAAAAAATTGAACTTAACTCTTTCTCCTGCTAAAAAGCAACCTGTTTCCCAGGATAATCAGCATAAAATAACTGATATTCCCAAGTCCAGTGGTGTATGTGATTCAGAGTCTTCAATGCAAGTTAAAACAGTGGCATATGTTCCCTCCATAAGTGAACATATCTTGGGGGAAGCAGCTGTCAGTGAACATACCATGGGGGAAACCAAGTCAACGTTATTGGAACCAAAGGTTGCTCTTCTAGCAGTGACTGAACCCAGGATCGGTATCTCAGAAACCAACAAGGAAGACGAAAATAGTTTGTTAGTTAGGTCTGTTGACAATACTATGCATTGTGAAGAGCCCATTTGTGGTACAGAGACTTCCTTCCCATCTCCTATGGAAATACAACAGACAGAATCCTTGTTTCCATCAACAGGAATGAAACAAACCATTAATAATGGAAGGGCAGCAGCTCCTGTGGTAATGGATGTATTACAAACAGATGTGTCTCAAAACTTTGGCTTGGAATTGGATACCAAAAGAAATGATAATTCAGATTATTGTGGTATTTCTGAAGGTATGGAGATGAAGGTGGCACTTTCAACAACAGTGAGTGAAACCACTGAAAGCATTTTGCAGCCTTCAATTGAGGAAGCTGATATTTTGCCAATAATGCTTTCAGAAGATAATAACCCAAAATTTGAGCCTTCTGTTATAGTTACACCACTGGTTGAGAGTAAGTCGTGTCATCTGGAGCCTTGCTTACCTAAAGAGACTCTAGATTCTTCACTTCAGCAGACTGAGTTAATGGACCACAGAATGGCAACTGGTGAAACAAACTCAGTATATCATGATGATGATAACTCGGTTTTGAGCATTGACCTTAATCACCTGAGACCTATTCCAGAAGCCATCAGTCCTCTGAATAGTCCAGTGAGACCTGTAGCAAAAGTTCTTAGAAATGAAAGCCCACCTCAAGTTCCAGTGTATAATAACAGTCATAAAGGTAATAGTTTGTATTATCTTCTATAACTTTGCATTTTATGAGAATGTAAAATACATAAGATGAATTGGTGCTTTTTCTTTTTTGATAACATAAAAAGTAGCATATTACTCAGCCCCTGTTATCTAGAAGTGCACATGGAGGGTTTTTTTGTTTTTTGGTTTTTTTTAGATGAAGTCTCACTCTGTCCCCCAGGCTGGAGTGCAGTGTGCACAATCTTGGCTCACTGCAACCTCTGCCTCCTGAGTTCAAGCAATTCTCCTGCCTCAGCCTCCCAAGTAGCTGGGACTACAGGCGCGTGCCACCACTCCCAGCTAATTTTTGTATTTTTTTTAGTAGAGTCAGGGTTTCACCATATTGGGCAGGCTGGTCTTGAACTCCTGACCTCGTGATCCGCCCGTCTCGGCCTCCCAAAGTGTTGGGACTATAGGCGTGAGCCACTGCACCCAGCCATAGTTGTTTTTTTGTTTCTTTTTTTTTTTTTTTTTTTTGAGAGAGAGTCACTCTGTCGCCAGGCTAGAGTGCAGTGGTGCGATCTCAGCTCACTGCAACCTCCGCCTCCCAGGCCCAAGCGATTCTCCTGCCTCAGCCTCCCAAGTAGCTGGGATTGCAGGCACCTGCCACTATGCTCATTTTTGTGTTAGTAGAGATGGGGTTTCACCATGTTGGTCAGGTTGGTCTGGATCTCTTGACCTCGTGATCAGCCCTCCTCAGCCTCCCAAAGTGCTGGGATTACAGGCGTGAGCCACCACACCTGGCCCCAAGCACTTTTTAAGGTCAATAAAAACCAATGATACAGGCGGGGCATGGTGGCTCACACCTGTAATCCTAGCACTTAGGGAGGCTGAGGCAGGTAGATCATGAAGTCAGGAGTTCGAGACCAGCCTGGCCAGTGTGGTGAAACCCTATCTCTACTAAAAAATACAAAAATTAGCTGGGCGTGGGAGCAGTCGCCTGTAGTCCCAGCTACTCAGGAGGCTGAGGCAGGAGAATTGGCTTGAACCCGGGAGGTAGAGGTTGCAGTGAGCCAAGATTGCGCCACTGCATTCCATCCTGAGTGTCATAGCAAGACTTCGTTCTCAAAAAAAAAATCAATAATACAAGTATTAGGCATTAACATTCTGCTTCAAAAAGAACTAGTAAAACAGTGAATTGCCGGCTGGGCGCAGTGGCTCACGCCTGTAATCCCAGCACTTTGGGAGGCCAAGGCGGGCAGATCACGAGGTCAGGAGATCGAGACCATCCTGGCTAACACGGTGAAACCCCGTCTCTACTAAAAATACAAAAAAATTAGTCAGACGTGGTGGCGGGCACCTGTAGTCTCAGATACTCGCGAGGCTGAGACAGGAGAATGGCATGAACCCACGAGGCGGAGCTTGCAGTGAGCCAAGGTTGCACCACTGCACTCCAGCCTGGGCGACAGAGCGAGACTCCATCTCAAAAAACAAAAAAAACAAACAGTGAATTGCCTCAGTATTTAATTTTTTGTTATATGTAATATTTAATATGGACATGTCAAATAACTAAACTTTAATATACTTTTATCTTCTATAAATGTGTTTAATATATTTTTCTCTTCTACAGATGTGTTTTTACCAAATTCAGCTCATTCTACCTCTAAGAGTCAGTCTGATCTCAATAAGGAAAATCAAAAGCCAATTTACAAATCTGACAAATGTACAGAAGCAGACACATGTAAGAATTCACCATTAGATGAATTAGAAGAAGGAGAAATTAGAAGTGATAGTGAAACATCTAAACCACAAGAAAGTTTTGAAAAAAATTCCAAACGTAGAGTGTCAGCTGATGTGCGGAAGTCAAAGACTATCCCACGACGTGGGAAAAGTACTGTGTGTTTAGATAAAGACAGTAGGAAAACACATGTAAGAATCCATCAGACCAATAACAAATGGAATAAAAGACCTGATAAATCTAGCAGATCTTCAAAAACAGAGAAGAAAGATAAAGTGATGAGCACTTCCAGCTTGGAAAAAATAGTTCCAATTATTGCTGTACCCTCTTCTGAACAAGAGATCATGCACATGTTACGAATGATAAGAAAACATGTAAGAAAAAATTATATGAAATTCAAGGCAAAATTTTCATTAATACAATTTCACAGAATTATTGAGTCAGCAATTTTGAGTTTTACATCTTTAATTAAACATCTCAACTTACACAAAATCTCTAAGTCAGTGACTACCTTACAGAAGAATCTCTGTGATATTATAGAGTCTAAACTTAAGCAAGTTAAAAAGAATGGCATAGTTGATCGTTTATTTGAACAGCAACTACCAGATATGAAAAAAAAATTGTGGAAGTTTGTAGATGACCAACTTGATTATTTGTTTGCAAAGCTTAAGAAAATCTTAGTATGTGATTCCAAAAGCTTTGGAAGAGATAGTGATGAAGGCAAACTTGAAAAAACAAGTAAACAGAATGCACAGTATTCAAATAGTCAGAAAAGGAGTGTGGACAACTCCAACAGAGAATTGCTGAAAGAAAAATTATCAAAATCAGAAGACCCTGTTCATTATAAGTCTTTAGTGGGATGTAAAAAATCTGAGGAAAATTATCAAGACCAAAATAACTCCAGTATTAACACTGTAAAGCATGACATTAAAAAAAATTTTAACATCTGCTTTGATAATATAAAGAACTCTCAATCCGAAGAGCGCTCCTTGGAAGTACACTGTCCAAGCACCCCAAAGTCAGAAAAAAACGAAGGAAGCAGCATAGAGGATGCACAGACATCCCAGCATGCAACTTTGAAGCCAGAACGAAGTTTCGAGATTCTTACCGAACAGCAAGCATCGAGCCTTACTTTTAATTTAGTGAGTGATGCACAAATGGGTGAAATATTTAAAAGTTTGTTGCAAGGTTCTGATCTTTTAGACAGCAGTGTTAACTGTACTGAAAAAAGTGAGTGGGAGTTAAAGACTCCAGAGAAGCAGCTGCTAGAGACTCTTAAGTGCGAGTCTATACCAGCTTGTACAACAGAAGAGCTAGTTTCAGGGGTGGCTTCTCCATGTCCTAAAATGATTAGTGATGATAATTGGTCATTATTATCATCTGAAAAAGGTCCATCTCTGTCTTCAGGGCTTTCATTGCCGGTTCATCCTGATGTGTTGGATGAAAGTTGTATGTTTGAAGTGTCTACTAACCTACCTTTAAGTAAAGATAATGTGTGTAGTGTAGAAAAGAGCAAGCCCTGCGTTTCTTCCATACTTCTTGAAGATCTAGCAGTCTCTTTAACAGTACCATCGCCTCTGAAGTCAGATGGTCATCTCAGTTTTTTAAAGCCTGATATGTCGTCCAGTTCAACTCCTGAAGAAGTCATTAGTGCTCATTTTAGTGAAGATGCCTTACTTGAGGAAGAGGATGCATCTGAGCAAGATATTCATTTAGCTCTGGAGTCTGATAATTCAAGCAGTAAATCAAGTTGTTCTTCTTCCTGGACAAGCCGATCTGTTGCTCCAGGCTTTCAGTACCACCCTAATCTACCTATGCATGCCGTCATAATGGAAAAGTCCAATGATCATTTCATTGTGAAAATACGACGTGCAACACCATCTACCTCTTCTGGCCTTAAACAGAGTATGATGCCTGATGAATTATTGACATCTTTGCCCAGACATGGAAAGGAAGCTGATGAAGGACCAGAGAAAGAATATATTTCATGTCAGAACACAGTTTTTAAATCTGTGGAGGAATTGGAAAACTCCAACAAAAATGTTGATGGCAGCAAGTCAACTCATGAAGAACAGAGCTCTATGATACAAACACAGGTTCCTGATATATATGAATTTCTTAAAGATGCTTCAGATAAGATGGGTCATAGTGATGAAGTGGCTGATGAATGTTTCAAATTGCATCAAGTATGGGAAACAAAAGTGCCTGAAAGCATTGAAGAATTGCCTTCAATGGAAGAAATCTCACACTCTGTTGGGGAACATCTTCCAAACACATACGTAGATCTAACGAAAGATCCAGTCACTGAAACCAAAAACTTGGGGGAATTCATAGAAGTAACAGTTTTACATATTGATCAGTTGGGATGTTCTGGAGGCAATTTAAATCAGAGTGCTCAAATATTAGACAATTCTTTGCAGGCTGATACTGTAGGTGCTTTTATTGATTTGACACAAGATGCTTCAAGTGAGGCTAAAAGTGAAGGTAATCATCCTGCATTAGCTGTGGAAGACTTGGGATGTGGGGTGATACAGGTAGATGAAGATAATTGTAAGGAAGAAAAGGCACAAGTGGCAAACAGGCCTTTAAAATGCATTGTTGAGGAAACCTATATCGACTTGACCACAGAATCTCCCAGTTCATGTGAAGTAAAAAAAGATGAGTTAAAATCAGAGCCAGGATCAAATTGTGATAACTCGGAGTTGCCTGGGACTTTGCATAATTCTCACAAAAAGAGAAGAAACATTTCTGATCTAAATCATCCTCATAAAAAACAAAGAAAGGAAACAGACTTAACTAATAAGGAAAAGACCAAGAAACCTACCCAAGATTCTTGTGAGAATACTGAAGCTCACCAAAAGAAAGCCAGTAAGAAGAAGGCCCCTCCTGTGACTAAAGATCCCTCATCATTAAAGGCAACCCCAGGGATTAAGGATTCATCAGCAGCACTTGCCACTTCTACAAGTCTTTCTGCAAAAAATGTTATTAAAAAGAAGGGAGAAATTATCATTTTATGGACAAGGTAAGAATCTTGTGAGACATTGAAATCACCAGGAAATTTTGCACTCAGAAATCTAATCTGTCTGGCTGGGCGCAGTGGCTCATGCCTGTAATCCCAATACTTTGGGACGCTGAGGCAGGTGGATCACTTGAGCCCAGGAGTTTGGGACCAGCTTGAGCAACATGGCGAAATTCTGTCTCTACAAAAAAATACAAAAATTAGGGCCGGGCGCAGTGGCTCACGCCTGTAATCCCAGCACTTTGGGAGGCTGAAGCGGGCGGATCATGAGGTCAGGAGATTGAGACCATCCTGGCTAACATGGTGAAACCCAATCTCTACCAAAAATACAAAACTTAGCCAGACGTGGTGGCATGCACCTGCAGTTCCAGCTAGTTGGGAGGCTGAGGCAGGAGAATGGCATGAACCCGGGGGGCAGAGCTTGCAGTGAGCCGAGATGGCGCCACTGCATTCTAGCCTGGGCAACAGAGCGAGACTGTCTTAAAAAAAAAAAAGAAAAAAAATACAAAAATTAGCCAGGCGTGGTGGTGCAGGCCTGTGGTCCCAGCTACTTGGGAGGCTGAGGCAGGAGGATCACTTGAGCCTGGGAGGCGAAGGTTGTACTCCAGCCTGGGTGACAGAGCAAAACTCTGTCTCAAAAAAAAAAAAAAAAACCTAAAGTTACCTAGCCAGGCATGGTGGCAGGCACCTGTAGTCCCAGCTACTCAGAAGGCTGAGGCAGGAGAATGGCCGTGAACCTGGGAGGCGGAGCTTGCAGTGAGCTGAGATCACGCCACTGCCCTCCAGCCTGGGTGACAGTGCGAGACTCCCTCTGGAAAAAAAGAAAAGAAAACCTAAAGATATCTAATCTGTCATGTCTTCATAGCTTTATCATCCTAAAATAAGGAAAATGAGGACTTCAAAAGTGGCCAAAGGTAGTTGAAGATACATTCTAGAGTACAGACCTGCTGTACTGTTGTACAATCTAGAACAGTGGCTCTTAACCAGAGGTGTGCAGTAATACCATGGATATAGCTTTTCACTTCGAAAAGCTCTATTGTGAAGTTAAAAAAAGAAAAGTGAAGTGAAAAAAAGTTAAAAAGTGAAGGGAAAAAGTGTGTTTTAACTTCACTGTTTAAATTAAAAACTTACTTCATTTGGAAGGAACTGCTGTAAGCACATCTTAGAAGGAATGACAAGTGATGAAACACAGCAAAAAATCGAGTGTTGGTATAGGTTGGTGCTGCAAAACCACAATTACTTTTGCAGCAACCTAATAGTTTGATTTTTCCTCCAGATTAGAAGTTTACAGTTTTGTAAACCGGTTGTACTTTTGAGGGTTTTTGTTTGTTTGTTTGTTTGTTTGTTTGTTTGAGTTTCACTCTTGTTGCCCAGACTCGAGTGCAATGGTACCATCTTGGCTCACTGCAACCTCTGCCTCCCGGGTTCAAGTGATTCTCCTGCCTCAGCCTCCCGAGTAGCTGGAATTACAAGGGCACACCCAGCTAATTTTGTATTTTTAGTAGAGACAGGGTTTCTCCGTGTTGGTCAGGCTGGATTGTAGGTAGGAAGTACTGGATTACAGGCATGAGATGCTGTGCCTGTACACTTTTGAGTTTTATATGAACTGTTTAAGAAAATCAAGACCCCATTCAGATGTAAAAGTAACCAGTTATGAATCATTGGACTAGAGGTAGATATACTTGACTAGAATGCTGAATGAGAGAAGCTGAGTTTTGTGAAAACTGGTGATCAGTTTTGTTAATTCCACAGTCCTCAAATCCCCATTGCAGGTAACTTTGCAGATGGCAGTATAATATCTCAGCAATTGTATTAATACCCATTTGGTCAGAGTATGTAGAAAAAGCAGAGGTCTGGGAATTAGAAGATAGGATTCTATTTTAGTTCTGGTTCTTCTGCTTATTATGTCTGTGACCATCTTTGGGCCCTAAGTTTTTTAGTGTATACATTAAAGGTAGAATTAAAAAGAAATACTTTAATTTTGTCATTAAGAAAATCAGTAGATTTGTTATAGAATACATATGAACTCAGAACAAAATCATCTAAATCTTATTTCTCAGAGACACCCATTGTCCATATTTTGGTATATACACTTTTCCTTTTTCCTATGGGTTTAAATTTCCCTGGTTGGTGGACTTCAAGGCAGTGGGATTTTTATTACCTTTCTAATACAGTGTACTAAAACTAAATACAATTTTTTCCTCCTCAGAAATGATGACCGGGAAATTTTATTGGAGTGTCAGAAAAGAGGGCCATCATTTAAAACATTTGCATATTTAGCCGCCAAGTTGGATAAAAATCCAAATCAGGTAACTACCCAATTTTTACATCTCTATTGGTTCACAGATGTTGCTACTCTAAATACTTAAGATTTAGGCTAGGTGTGGTAACTCACAGCTATAATCCCAGCACAGCCAAGGTGGGAGGATCCCTTGAAGCCAGGAGTTCGAGACCATCCGGGCAACAAGGTAAGACTTCTGCCTCTACAGAAAAATTTTAAAAAATTAGTGGGTGCTGTCGTGTGCACCTGTGGTCTCAGCTCGGAAGGCTGAGGAGGGAGGATCGCTTGAGCCCAGGAGATCAAGGCCACCCTGGCCAATATAGTGAGACCATGTCTCTACAAAAAACAAAAAAAATAGCAGGACATGGTGACATGCACCTGTAGTCCCAGCTACTCGGGAGGCTGAGGCAAATTGATCACTTGAGCCCAGGAGGTTGAGGCTACAGTGAGCTGTGATCATGCAACTGCACACCAGCTTGAGACAGAGTGAGACCCTGTTTCAGACAAAAGTAAATAAATAAATGTTTAGATTGAATTTTTTTTCTTTTTGAATTAAAGTTAGTTTCATTCAGTCTTTTTTTTTTGGAAACAGAGTCTTGCTTTGTTGACCTTACTGGAGTGCAATGGCGTGATCTTGGCTCACTGCAGCCGCCACCTCCTGGGTTCAAGTGATTCTTGTGCTTAAGCCACCCGAGTATCTGGGATTACAGGTGTGTGCCACCACACCCAGCTAATTTTTTGTATGTTTAGTAGATTACTAGAGAGGCGGAGTTTTGCTGTGTTGGCCAGGCTGGTCTTGAACTCTGGGTCTCATGTGATCTGCTCACCTCGGCCTCCCAAAGTGCTGGGATTACAGGCGTGAAAAAAATGTTTTAAGAGATGGAGTCAGGCCAGGCGCGATGGCTCACGCCTGTAATCCCAGCACTTTGGGAGGCCGAGGAGGGCAGATCACAAGGTCAGGAGATTGAGACCATCCTGGCTAACATGGTGAAACCCCGTCTCTACTAAAAATACAAAAAATTAGCCGGGCACAGTGGCGGGTGCCTGTAGTCCCAGCTACTCAGGAGGCTGAGGCAGGAGAATGGCGTGAACCCGGGAGGCGGAGCTTGCAGTGAGCCGAGATCGTGCCACTGCACTCCAGCCTGGGCAACAGAGCGAGACTCTGTCTCAAAAAAAAAAAAAAAAAAAGAGATGGAGTCTCATTATGGTGCCCAGGCTAGATTTGAACTCCTGAGCTGGCTTAGATTTACTTTTTGAGTGTTAGAATATGTAGATATTTATTAGCCAGCCTCTTTAAAAGTATGGCTCAGCGTAGGACTGTTAAAAACTTGTTAACTGTGGAAGAAGTATGACTGAGACAATCCTGATTGTTTTGTAAACTGATGTTTGCTTGTTTAAGAAATATTAATGTTTGTAATCCCAGCACTATGGAAGGCCGACTGGGAGGATTGCTTCGGCCCAGGTTATAGTAAGCTATGCTCTTGACACTGCACACTCCAGCCCGGGTGACAGCAAGACTCTGTCTCTTAAAAAAAAAAAAAAAAAAAAAAAGCCTGGTGCAGTGGCTCACGCCTGTAATCCCAGCACTTTGGGAGGCTGAGGCAGGCGGATCACCTGAGGTCGGGAGTTCAAGACCAGCCTGACCAACATGGAGAAACCACGTCTCTACTAAAAATACAAAAAAAATTAGCCAGGTTTGGTGGCTTATGCCTATAATCCCAGCTACTCAGGAAGCTGAGGCAGGAGAATCGCTTGAACCCGGGAGGTGGAGGTTGCAGTGAGCCGAGATCATGCCATTGCACTCCAGCCTGGGCAACAAGAGTGAAACTCCATCTCAAAAAAAAAAAAAAAAGTTCAATATTGAAAAGTTAACTAGTAATCACCTTTAGTATGAAGATATTTTTCTTTTTTTTTTTTTTTAAGACGGAGTTTCACTCTTGTTGCCCAGGCTGTAGTGCAATGGTGCGATCTCGGCTCACTGCAACCTCCGCCTCCCGGGTTCAAGTGATTCTCCTGCCTCAGCCTCCTGAGTAGCTGGGATTACAGGCATGCACCACCATGCCTGGCTAATTTTGTATTTTTAGTAGAGACGGGGTTTCTCCGTGTTGGTCAGGCTGGTCTTGAATTCCCGACCTCAGGTAATCCGCCTGCCTCGGCCTCCCAAAGTGCTGGGATTACAGGCATGAGCCACCACACCTGGCCATGAAGATATTTTTCTAAACATTAGTTCATCTCTTTATTATTGAAGATGACTTTGTCTGTCTTTAGCTGTCTTACGAAAGTATTCTTCAAAGATGAAAAAAGATTACTGAGGTATTTGTAATTAACATTCATTTTTAAATTTTCAGGTCTCAGAAAGATTCCAGCAGCTAATGAAGCTCTTTGAAAAGTCAAAATGCAGGTAGTTAATGGTTACACTACAGGAGACTAGTAAAATAAATGTTTGACACTGTAGTTGTGCAGTTAATGGCCTGTTAGTCATTGAAGATGTGAATAGTGGGTGAGAGACATCCAGTTGAGTTCCTGCTTCAGTCACAGGTTGGAGGATGATTGCTCGAGCAGGCATCTAAGGTGACCTCATCCACAGGGACGTGCTCAGAGTGAAGCCTGCTGCAGTTCAGATCAGCATGGCATCTCTCCTCAACCTTCTGATTGCTGATGAGTCTAAGGTGGGGGGAAATCCATTTGATTAATAATAAAGTTTTTATAGATAAATCAAACATTCTTGAAAAGCAGAATGTGGTTCATAAGCAGTGAAGTCTGTGTAGTGATGGTAATTTAATGTTTCTCACATTTTTAATTAGTGCTAATTAAAATACAAAACATTTATAAAGTTTGTCATCCCAATTGATGACATGATTTACCATATTAAATTGTTAATAATGTTCACAGACATGTTTCCTCAGTTTTTGTTTTTGTACTTGTCGTACAAGTCTTTCTTGTACATACAGGCTTATTAGGGCAATAATATTTAAATTATCAGCAGAAGGCTGGGTGTGGTGGTACCCACCTATAGTCCCAGCTACTCGAGAGGCTGAGGCAAGAGGATTGCTTGAGCCCAGAAATCTGAGGCTAGGGTACTAGGATTGTGCCTGTGAATAACCAATACACTCCAGCCTGGGCAATATAGTGAGATCCAGTCTCTAAAACCTAAGTAAGTAAATAAATTACCAGCAGGTTTTTTCTGTAGGATCTCTGCCAATTGCTTAAATATTTTGGATTTTTATGTAAGCAAAATTTTAAAGATATTTAATGTATCACAATATTTTTAATTGATTTGCTGTCCTAATTATTTGAATGCAAAACATGCAGTTTTAAATGAAGTTTGAATTAAATCTGAATAGCAACTATATTTGGACATACAGAGCCGGGCACAGTGGCACACCTGTAATCCCAGCACTTTGGGAGGCCGAGGTGGGCAGATCATTTGAGGCCAGGAGTTCTATACCAGCCTGGCCAACATGGTGAAACCCCATCTCTACAAAAAATACAAAAATTAGCTAGGCATGGTGGCACGTGTCTGTAATCCCAGCTACTTGGGAGACTGAGGCATGAGAATCGCTTGAACCTGGGAGGTGGAGGTTGCGGTGAGCCAAGATTGCGCCACTACACTCCAGCCTGAAAGAGTGAGACTCTGCCTCTCAGAAAGAAAAGAAAAAAAAAACAAAAACTTGATTTGGACATAGAGCGCAGTGCTAGTGAAATCTTCAAAATATGTGTAGTAGTTTACTATGATGTTAAATTTCTTTTGTTTGTTCTGAGACGGAGTCTCACTCTGTCGCCCGGGCTGGAGTGCAGCCGCATGATCGCAGCTCACTGCAACTTCTGCCTCTCGGGTTCAAGTGATTATGACGTTAAATTTCTACTTATATAATTCAGAATGTTGCCGGGTGCAGTGGCTCATGCCTGTAATCCGAGCACTTTGGGAGGCTAAGGTGGGCAGGTCACCTGAGTTCAGGAGTTCGAGACCAGCCCAGCCAACATGATGATACTTCATTTCTACCAAAATTACAAAAATTAGCTGGGTATGGTGGAACGTGCCTGTAATCCCAGCTACTTGGGAGCCTGAGGCAGGAGAATCACTTGAACAAAACACAACAGAATACTGTAAGCTTGAATAATGGGGAATTTGGAGAAGAAGCTTATTCTAAAGAACTTTTTTTTAAAAAGCTCTGGGCAAAAGTGGCTTGATTATTTATTAGATTAACTGTGCTTTTTAAGATTTTTGCTGCCTTTAAGAAATTAAATCGTTTCTTTTTTTTACCTTAATGTTATATTAAAGTATGATTTCCGTTCTCTTGTGAAGAGAATGTAAATTCTTTTAAACAGAGATGGGGTTTCGCTGTGTTGCCCAGGCTGGTCTCGAACTCCTGGATTCAAGCGATCCATCTGCCTTGGCCTCCCAAAGTGCTCAGATTACAGGCGTAAGCTACTGCACCTGGCCAAAAATCTAAAACCATTTAATGAATTTGATATTTGAGATTTCTTTGCTTGCAGGATAGCACATATTGTGGGTTATTTCATTCGTAGCTTGCCTCTTAACTGATTTTTTTTCCCCACAAGTACTGTAGTCCTATTAAATTTTTGTCAATATCAAGTATAATGATAGTTACCAAACTGATTGCAAAAGCTAGGTTTTTTTTTAAATTTTGAGACCAATTGGAAGATGAGAAAGCTAGTTTATTAAACACCAATATCGTCTAAATGGAGCTCATTTAAGATAACACATTATGAGATAGTCCTATCAGAAAAATAGAATAATAACTTTAGCATTTTCTTACATTACAGATAAGTTGCTGAATTCCTGGGACTCTTAACTGATATTGCATACTACACAGAAGCTTCAAATTCCTCATGTTTTAAATGAGCACTAGAGGGAGGTTTATCACCTTTTTGGTTACCAGATGATAATCTATATTTGTTATTACTCAGTGACTCTCTAATTTCACATCAGCATGTTCAGCTTGTGCTAGTCATCATTCTGATTTGCTTATCTGTTTTTGGTCAAAATATTTATTTTTAAACATGTTAGAACTTACCAAAATGAAAGCAACAGTGATGTATTGAAATCTTAGTTTTGATATTTTAAAGAAATGACTTTCTAGATTAAAAAAATAGTTTTGTAGCATTTTAAACTTAGTGACTATTTAGTTCAATTGTTCATCCATTTTTTATTTGCTTTTATAATTGCCTCCTTGTTTTGGTATATTGTAAAATAATTTAAATAATGTATTTATAAATATGTATAATTATGATGTAAAATACCGTGTGTATATGTATGTATGTGTGTTTCTGTATATGCACACACATAAACGGCTTTGCCTAGCCAAGGATTTTTTTTATCTGTATAAAACTTTTTGTATAAAGTTTGCTTTCAATAACAGTAATGTATAATAAAACCATGTAAAGTTTTGTTGTATTTTGATTCGAATGTTTCTTTTACTTTTATTGTGTTTAGGTAATAATTTAAAAAATCAAAAGAGGTAAAAGTCCTAGGGGACGTAGGGTGCAATTTTGAAGTGGTTCCTGGTTGGGGTGTGGCTGGCTGAATGGTTCTGAGTAGATTGAGAAAACTGATTGCTGTTGCCTGCCTTCTCACAGCAAGTACTAGAACGGTGAACCATATCTCTGCTGCAGGTGTCCTCACAGATAAAATTAGAGTAGCACAAGAGCTTTTTGGGTGAAGCTTTGGAGAAAACAGGTGTAAGGATTGATTAGCTTGGGCATTACTTCTTCACCCTTCAGCCTTCAGACTCACAGAACTTCTCAGTTAATAATCTAGGCCCTAGACTCTAGGAAGTGCCTCTTCTCATTGCCATTTTTCTCAGGGTGTCCAAAGGAAGAAGCCCTGTCCTAAAAGATTACACATTGAAATAAATAGCAGTGGTTTTGTAGTGCTAGGGCTCTCCAACATGGGGCTTGTCCCCTTCCCTCTCTTTGAACCCTTAATACCAACTAGAGGGTTGGCCATCAGTCCTTCTGCAGTGCATACTCTCACTCAGAAGATCTCATACCACCAGGTAAGTGAGTTCACAAACAATATGATAACCGAAAGATACTACTGGTTCAAAAGAAAACTGGATTACATAAGACTTTCAGAATCTAAAATGAAACTAATAAACATTAAAAGATGTTAGCAACGTGATACAGGAAATAATGAAACATTTAAAGTAAATAACATAATAAATGGAGTAAAAGGATAGAGGCCAGGTGTGGTGGCTCATGCCTGTAATCCCAGCACTTTGGGAGGCCGAGGCAGGTGGATCATGAGGTCAGGAGTTCAAGACCAAGCCTGCAAGATGGTGTAACCCTGTCTCTACTAAAAATACCAAAATTAGCTGGGCATGGTGGTGGGTGCCTGTATTCCTAGCTACCCGGGAGGCTGAGGCAGAGAATTGAACCCGGGAGGTGGAGGTTGCAGTGAGCCAAGATCACACCACTGTGCTCCAGCCTGGGTAACAGAGCGAGACTCAAAAAAAAAAAAGGGTAGATACAGGTGCAGAATAAACTAGTTGGAAAATCAGGCTGAGAAACCACCAGAAGGAAGCAAGAAAAAGAATACAGGAAATATGAAAGCGGATTTAAGCAAGATGGAAGCCAGAAGTAGGTGTGCCAACATTCAGGTAAGAGGCCTAGAAGGAGGAAAAAAATAGAGATTGAAAGGGCCATAGGGTGCCAAATGAGAGACATACTGAAATTGAAGAGTATCAAGGTAACGAGAAAAATCTAAAAGCTTTTAGAGTAAATGTATAAAGGAACAAGAATAAGATTGACTTCAGTCTTCTCAAGTGCAATACTGGGTGCAGGAAAATAATGTCATATTTAAAGTACCGGACTTAAAGTTTTAGTCTATCTAAATTTGTCATTCACATGTGAGGAATTAATAAAAACATTAAGATTTACCAAAGATCTCTATCCAAAGGAAAAGAAGTCACTTTATCAGAAAGACACACACGTTTATTGCAGCACAATTCACAGTTGCAAAGACATAGAATGAACCTAAGTGTCCATAAATTGATGAGTGGATAGAGAATGTGGTATACATATATCATGGAGTGCTACTCAGCTGCACAAAAAGAATAATGTCTTTTGCAGCAACTTGTATTGAACTGGAGGCTGTTCTAAGTGAAGTAACTCAGGAATTGAAAACCAGATAACATTCAGGTGTGGTGGCTCACGCCTGTAATCCCAGCAATTTGGGAGGGTGAGGCGGGCAGATCACCTGAGGTCAGGAGTTTGAGACCAGCCTGGCCAACGTGGCAAAACGCTGTCTCTACTGAAAATACAAAAATTAGCCGGGTGTGGTGGCGGGCGCCTGTCATCCCAGCTACTCAGGTGGCTGAGGCAGGGAGAATTACTTGAACCTGGAAGGCGGAGGTTGCAGTGAGCCAAGACTGTGCCATTGCACTCCAGCCTGGGCAACAAAGCGAGACTCCGTATCAAAAAGCAAACACAAAAAAACCCAGATACCCCTTTCTGCTTCCACTGCCACCATGGCACTCATGAAAAAGCTTGTGGCAAAGCAGGGCAGAAAACAAAAAAGAAGCAGGTTTCTGAAGTTTACTCTTAATTGCACCCACTGTAGAAGATGGAATCATGGATGCTGCTAATTTTGAGCAGTTTTTGCAAGAGGGGATCAAAGTGAATGGAAAAGCTGGGAATCTAGGTGGAGGACCAAGAGCAAGATCACCATGACTTCTGAGGTGACTTTTTCCTAAAGGTATTTGAAATATCTCACAAAAAAATTTTGAAGAAGAATAATCTGTGTGATTGGTTGCACGTAGTTGCTAACAGCGAAGAAAGTTATGAATTACGTTACTTCCAAATTAGCCAGGACAAATAGGAGGAAGATGAGGATTAAAATTCATTTATCTGGAATATTTTGTATGAGTTTGTGAATAAAACTTGGGAACCAGAGGAAAAAAAAACCAGATACCACATGTTCTCGCTTATAAATGGGTATGCAAAGGCATACAGAGTGGTATAACAGAGATTGGAGACTCAGAAGGTGGAACAGGGAAGGGATGAAAAACTACATATTGAATACAATGTTTGCGACTTGGGTGACTGGTGCACTAGAATACTAGACTTCAGCACTGTGCAGTTCATCCATGTAACTGAAAACCACTTGTACCTCTAAAGGTACTGAAAAATTTTTTTAAAAAATGAAAAAAAGATTTGCTGGGCCGTGTGGGGTGGCTCACGCCTGTAATCCCAGTTCTTTGGGAGGCTGAGGTGGGCGGATCACTAGGTCAAGAGATCAAGACCATCCTGGCCGACATGGTGAAACCCCATCTCTACTAAAAATACAAAAATTAGCTGGGTGTGGTGGTGCACGCCTGTAATCCCAGCTACTCAGGAGGCTGAGGCAAGAGAATCACGTGAACCCTGGAGGCAGAGGTTGCGGTGAGCCGAGATAGGGCCACTGCACTCCAGCCTGGTGACAGAGCAAGACTCCGTCTCAAGAAAAAAAAAAAAAAAAGATTTGCCAATGATTCGCATTGAAAATTTTGGAAAAAATACTCAAAAAGTCCAGAAGATACTACAAAATCTGTGGGGATAACAGTGTTCAGATACCTTGGTAAGATGTGTATAGGGGGAGAAAGATTTTTTTAGAAAGCAATAAACCAGAATTATAATTTTAGACAGTATCAACATAATGGCGAGTAGAGGAGATCAAGGAAGTATACAAATGTTACAGTTCTTGCCTTGTTAGGAAGAAGGTATAGACATAAAAATGCCACACTTAAAATTGAGGTATGGCATTCACGTAGAAAAGTGCATGAAAGAAATAGTTTTCACAAAGTAAACACTTGTGTAACAGCACCCAGATCAAGAATTAGAACATTACCAGCCCTCCAGAGTGCCCCCCATTCCTAGTAATAGTCCTTCCTTCTCCCTAGGGACAAACATTATCAGAACACTGTCTCTGATTTATATTATCATAGATTAGTTTTGCTTGTCTTTGAACTTTCAAATGGAATTATAACTGTAGATACTATTTGGCTTATTTCATTAAGCAATATGTGAGGTTCATGCCTGTGTTGAGTATAGCAATACTAAATTCTTTCTCACTACTGTATGTATTTCAATTGAACCACAATTTATCTATCCTACTGTCATAGACATTTGTGTTCTAGTTCAGAACTGTTAGAAATAATGCCATTGGCTGGGCGCAGTGACTCATGCCTGTAATCCCAGCACTTTGGGAGGCCGAGGCGGGCAGATCACGAGGTCAGGAGATCGAGACCATCCTGGCTAACACGGTGAAACCCTGTCTCTACTAAAAATACAAAAACAAAAAATTAGCCGGGTGTGGTGGCAGGCGCCTGTAGTCCCAGCTACTTGGGAGGCTGAGGCAGGTGAATTGCTTGAGATGGACTTTAGCTCTTGTTGCCCAGGCTGGAGTGCAGTGGCGTGATCTTGGCTCACTGCAAACTCCACCTCCCAGGTTCAACAAATTCTCCTGCCTCAGCCTCCCAAGTAGCTGGGATTACAGGCACCCGCCACCATACCTGGCTAATTTTTTTGTATTTTTAGCAGAGACGGGGTTTCTCCATGTTAGCCAGGCTGGTCTCAAACTTCAGACCTCAGGTGATCCTCCCACCTCGGACTCCCAAAGTGCTGGGATTACAGGCAGGCATGAGCCACCACATTCAGACTTTTTTTTGTATTTTTAGTAGAGACAGTGTTTCACCATGTTGGCCAGGCTGGTCTCAAACTCCTGGCCTCAAATGATCCACCCACCTTGGCCTCCCAAAGTGCTGAGATTATAGGCATGAGCCACTATGTCTGGCCTATTTTATTTTATTATTTATTTATTTACTTTTTTTTTTTTTTTTTTTTTGAGACAAGGTCTCACTTTGTTGCCCAGGCTAGAGTGCAATTGTGCAGTCACTGGTCACTGCAGCCTCGACCTCTTGGGTTCAAGTGGTCCTTTCACCTCAGCCTCCCAAGAAGCTGGGACTGCAGGCGCACACCACCATACCCAGCTAATTTTTGTGTATTTTGTAGAGAGAAGGTTTTGCAGTGTTGCTCAGGCTGGTCTTGAACTCCTAAGCTCAAGCAATCCCCCTCCTATCCTCCCAAAGTGTTGGGATTACAGGCGTGAGCCACTGTGCCCAGCCTACCACTTTTTATTTAACCATTCAGTGGACATTTGGGTTGTTTCCACATTTAGGCTACTGTGGAGTATTATGAACACAGCTGTTCATATTTGGGCCCCTGCTTTCTGTTCTGTACTCATTTATTTAATTTTACTTTTTTACCAGCTTCTACATCAAGAACACAAAGCTTGGCAGGGTGCACTGGCTCATGCCTGTAATCCCAGCACTTTGGGAGGCCTAGGCAGGATGATCACTTGAACCCAGGAGTTCAAGACCAGCCTGGGCAACATAGTGGGAATCTGTCTCTTAAAAAAAAAAAAAAAAAAAAAAAAAATTAGCCAGACGTGGTGGTGGCACCGGAGTGTGGTGGCACACTCCTGTGGTCCCAGCTACTCAGGAGGTTGAAGTGGGAGGATTGCTTGGACTTGGGAAGTCAAGGCTCCAGGGAGCCATGATTCTGCCAGTGCACTCCAGCCTGGGAGAGAGTGTGAGACCGTCTTAGAAAAAAAAAGGAAAAAATGTATACTGTTTATCAGCTTACAAAAGTTTCTTTCTAGGCTGGGCGCGATGGCTCACGCCTGTAATCCCAGCACTTTGGGAGGCCAAGGCGGGTGCATCACTTGAGGTCAAGAGTTCGAGACCAGCCTGACCAACATGGTGAAACCCTGTCTCTACTAAAAATACAAAAATTAGCTGGGCGTGGTGGCATACACCTGTAATCCCAGCTCCTTGGGAGGCTGAGGCTGGAGAATCGCTTGAACCTGGGAGGCAGAGGTTGCAATGAGCCAAGATTGTGCCACTGCACTCTAGCCTGGGTGACAGAGTGAGAGATTCCATCTCAAAAAAAAAAAAAAAAAAAAGTACCTCCTTTATTTATTTTCTCCTTTATTAAATGTGGTAAATTAAATCATTAAAAAAATTAAACCTTGCAGTTTCAGAATAAACTTTACTTTTATTTCATTTTTTCTTAAAACTCCTTGTCAACACAATAATAAACCCAACTTTAAAGTAATGTATTATATCCTTTTTAAATATATTGTTGGATTTAGTTTACTATACTGTTTGTTTAGGATATTCTGTTTGTGTGTGTGTGTGTGTGTGTGTGTGAAATTGGCTTACATTTCTTTCTTTCTTTTTTTTTTTTTTTTTGAGATGAAGTCTCACTGTGTCACCCAGGCTGGAGTGCAGCGACGCGATCTTGCTCACTGCTGCAACCTCTGCCCCCTGGGTTCAAGCGATTCTCCTGCCTCAGCCTCCTGAGTAGCTGGGTTTACAGGCACCTGTTACCGCACCCGGCTAATTTTTGTATTTTTTTAGTAGAGACAGGGCTTCACCATCTTGGCGAGGCTAGTCTTGAACTCATGACCTCATGATCCACCCACCTTGGCCTCCCAAAGTGCTGGGATTACAGGTGTGAGCCACTGTGCCTGGCCCATTTTTTTCTTTCTTAATGTCTTGTAAGGTTTTGGTATCCAAGTTATGCTGACTCTGTAAAGTGAATTGGAATGTGTTCCCTCTTTTTAAATTCTTGAAAAGTTACATGATAAGATCAGTGAAAAACGTGAGCATAAGCCCATTGCTGAGCTTATTCTCCTGTGAAATCTGTTTCTTGAACAGAAAATGTGTACAATGCCATAATGGCGAATAAGTATTCCATTAGGCTGTGCTTGGTGGTGCTGACAAAAGCATTAAGGTCAGGGAGGTAAATCCATACTTGGAGAATACGTCTCTCCCAGTGAAAACAAATTACATTCCCCTCCATGGATAGGGTCAGTCTGATGTAAGAAACCTGCTAGTAGGTAGTTGGCTAGTCCATATTGGGACTTAACTTTGACTTTGTTCTTGACATGCTAAGCCTTCCACAATGGAGGCACCCAGGTCAGCTCTGGTGAGTGGAAATCCATGTCGCTGAGCCCATAGCCTTCTTTCTCACCACCATGGTGATTTTGTTTATGGGTCCATTGAGCAAGCACTGGATTTGCAAGGGAAAGACACAGACTGACATCCCCAGAATGTATTATTTTGTTCATTTCACTATTGAGATTCTCTTCTACAGTAGGTGTCTTTGGTGAACACTGACATAAAACACAAATATCTTCACATTTTGTCTCTAATCCTAGAAGTCCCTTCACGATACTTTTTTCTTAGACCTTGTCACATTTTGTTTTTTCCAAGTCTTAAACCATCCAGCCAAACCTTTAACCACTTCCCTTGAATGTACATCCTATGTCTGGCCCTTTCCCACTCCAGTTGAAGAAGACAATCATATATGCTGCTCAAAGTTCTACCTCCCAGGAGAATTTCCCTTCAACATTATCTCCTGGTTGGCATTGTAACATTGCAGCAGTCTATTTCTGGCCTTTGCTGGCACATCAGTCAGAAACATCTGGAAAATAGGCCCAAATATTTTTTCTCCCCCCCAGTTAACCGGTCATAAGGAACTTCATATGAGGCTCTAGGTGTTGACTGAGTGAGAAAAGAAGCAGGTACAGTATTGGGTATCAGAGGAATCTGCTTATGCAACTAATACACCTTCCAGACCTGCTTCAGCCTGATGTTTTATATAACATTTACACTTATTGATGTATTGCTGCTGTGTGTGCCCAACCTTATGGTGGCATGGATCAGATAATACCCAGTTCATTCTGGATATCTCAGGTCACCTGGTCACTTGACGTACCATGGTCAGGCATTCAGTCTCTAACAGGGCATAGCTATGCTCCAGAATGCTGAAGCTCTGCACTGTGATTCTTTTATTAAGGCTTGCTAGAGCCTCCATGTGACATATTGTATTAATCAGTTCTCATGCTGCTGATAAAGATATACCCAAGACTGGGTAATTTATAAAGAAAAAGAGGTTTAGTGGACTCACAGTTCCACATGACTGGGGAGGCCTCACAATCATGGTGGCAGGCCGGAGAGCTTGTGCAGGGGTACTCCCATTTACAACACCATTAGATCTCATGAGACTTATTAACTACCACAAGAACACTATGGGGGGGAAACCATCCCATGATTCGATTATCTCCACACGGCCCCACCCTGGACACCTGGGGATTATTTCAATACAAGGTGAGATTTGGGTGGGGACACAGCCAAACCATATCACATATTTATTAGCTAAAGTTTCTTTGAATTCATCTAATTTGCTGGGATTTTGCACACTCTTGCACTGCAGACTGAACTTACTGCAGAGTTTTTTCTTTCTCTGTTTCCCAGGAAAATCTCACAGCCTTACAGGTTATTCATTTAATGGACCAGAGTAGCATATCAAATGACTTCCATAATTCACAAAGGCTTATCAAGCATTGCACCTTTTTTTTTGTATGGTGTTGGTGGTAGTGGTAGTTATAGTGCAAGGGATAGAAACTACTTTCACTTGGGGAGGACTGGATCTCTAGAAACTTTGCTGAAGTGGCAGGTCCCTTAATTTTTGTGGGGCTTGTATTCTACCCTGTGGCCTGCATTTGTCTTCTTACTAAAATATCGACAGTACTTTTCTCTTGCTCATCAGGTCTAATCAGCATTATGTTATCAATGTAGTGACCCAGTATGATATTCTGGGGGTTATCAAGCTCATCTAGACCTCTGTGGCCTAGATTATGGCAGAGAACAGGAAAATTGATGAAGCCCTTAGGCAAGATGGTGAAAGATGTATTGTTGACCCTGCCAGATAAAAGCAAATTGTTGGAGGTTGGCAGCATACATTCTAACACTCCAGGGCCTTATAAAAATCAAGAAAGTAGCCATTCTCAGATGTCAGGCCTGCTCAGCTCATGGAAGCTTAGAATTAAAAAAATATATATATATGTACATATATATATTTCATAAAAATATATATTCCTATAAACAACATATAGAATTGAGAGTTTTAAATTTATGAGAGTATTCCAAAGTATGTTTTGTTCTGTGATGTCCTTTATTCACTCAGATTTCTTTTTATTCAAATGGAGTTTTGCTCTTGTTGCGCAGGCTGGAGTGTGTGCGATCTGGGCTCACTGCAACCTCCACCTCCCAGGTTCAAGCAATTCTCCTGCCTCAACCTCCCAAGTAGCTGGGATTACAGGCATGTGCCACCACCCCTGGCTAATTTTTTGTAATTTTTAGTAGAGACGGGGGTTCACCATGTTGGTCAGGCTGGTCTCCAACTCCTGACCTCAGGTGATCCACCTGCCTCAGCCTCCCAAATTGCTGGGATTACAGGTGTGAGCTACTGCGCCCAGTCACTAAGAATATTTTTGAAATTTATGTTAATACAGACTCATTCACTTTGTTTTGTTCTGAGACGGAGTCTTACTCTGTCGCCCAGGCTGGAGTGCAGTGGCGCGATCTCCGCTCACTGCAAGCTCTGCCTCCCAGGTTCACGCCATTCTCCTGTCTCAGCCTCCCAAGTAGCTGGGACTACAGGCACCTGCCACCACGCCCAGCTAGTTTTTTTGTATTTTTTAGTAGAGACGGGGTTTCGCTGTTTGCCAGTATGGTCTTGATCTCCCAACCTCGTGATCCGCCCACCTCGGCCTCCCAACGTGTTGGGGTTACAGGGGTGAGCCACGACGCCCGGCATTTTTTTTTTTTTTTTTGAGACGGAGTCTTGATCAGTCGCCCAGCCTGGAGTGCAGTGGCGTGATCTCGGTTCACTGCAAGCTCTGCCTCCCGTGTTCACGCCATTCTCCTGCCTCAGCCTCCCGAGTAGCTGGAACTACAGGCGCCCGCCACCACACCCGGCTAATTTTTTTGTATTATTAGTAAAGACGGGGTTTCACCATGTTAGCTAGGATGGTCTCGATCTCCTGACCTCGTGATCCACCCACCTTGGCCTCCCAAAGTCCTGGGATTACAGGCGTGAGCCACCGCGCCCGGCCCACTTTGTTTTCTTTTTAAGGCAAATGACTTCTGTTAATATTTGCAAATTGATATAGAGAAAAAGCATTTGCCATGTGAATGGCTGCATACTGTGTGACAAGACTAATTCGATTTCTTCCATTAAAGATACCACATCTGGAGCAGTAACTGCAATTGGAGTCAGTGCATGATTAAGGTGATAATTTTCTAAGATCTATTATTCTTTTTCTGTACAAAGGATGAGATAGGTAGTACCATGCAGCACATTTAGTGTCTTTTTTCTTTTTGAGACAGGGTCTCACTCTGTTGCCCAGGCCCCAGGCTGAAGAGCAATGGCATGACCTTGGCTCACTGCAACCTCTGCTTCCCCGGTTCAAGCAGTTTTCGTGTCTCACCCACCCAAGTAGCTGGGATTACAGGCATGCGCCACCATACGTGGCTACGTTTTGTATTTTTAGTAGAGATGGGGTTTCACCATGTTGCCCAGGCTCGTCTGGAACTCCTGGCCTGGAGTGATCCACCCGACTCAGCCTTCCAAAATGCTGGCCCCTTGAAAAGGGCCACTGTGCTCAGCCGCTTTCAAGACTTTAATCTCTGCAATTGCACTAATCTCTGCAATTGCCCTGAGGATGAAGTATTGTTTTTTTGTGGGGGAATTTAAATCTTCCATCCAACTCTTTCCTCTATTATGTCCTATCTCCTCTGTGTTATTTCCTCTCCTCTTCTTTAATTTCTTTTAGGTTGATTATTTTTAATTCAATTTTACCTCTCTTAACTTTATTGTTCTCTGAGAGATTACACATGCATCCTTTACTTATCAATGTTTAAGAGATTACACATGCATCCTTTGCTTATCAATGTTTAATATTCTGACTCTGACAAAATGCATTCAATGTATTACATTCATTACTTTTCAGGTGACTTTTTACCTAATACTATACAAATACAGTTATTAATACATCATATGTTTTTACCTCTAGTTAATTCTGACAGATAATTTGTACTTTGGGCTGATGTGCCAGGCTAGTGGAAGTTTAATGTCACCTGTCTACCTTTCATTATCATCCTTTTTTAAAAACTAAATGACCAAAAATAGAATAGGCAGATGATAACGATGAACTATCAGTAATTTTATGCACTTCTACATTTTATATGGAAAAGAGCAGGCTTAGAAATGTGCCTCAGAGCTGTGATCTGAAACCCTCATTGGGTTCTAGTGATGCCCTTGCGGTCAACACCTCTTAAGATGGCAAGAAGATTATATGCTTGAGATGTGACTAGCGAAAGATGCTGCACACTGAGAGTTTGGAGACCTGGTCTATCAGCATTGGGCAAGTCGTTTGACCTCTCTGGAATTCTCATTCTTTCTCTACAAAAATCAGACCTAGGTTTCTAAGGCTACTACTGGCTTCCAGATTCTCTATTTAGAAAGAAAAATATTTTCTTGAGCCATATGTTTTGACCTAATAGAATATTGCTACAACAAGAATGGTGATGCACACCTGTAGTCCCAGCTACTCAGGAGGTTGAGGTAAGAGGATCACTTGAGCCCAGGAGTTGGAGTCCAGCTTGGGCAACAGAGCAAGACCCTATCTTTAAAATACTAGTACTACTACTACTACTACTACTAATAGAATATCGGCACAGAAATGGACGGCATGCTGTGGCGGGGCTGGTGCAAGATGCCGCTGCGGGTTCAGGTGTTTAATTTGCAGTAGGGGCTGGGCGCGGTGGCTCATACCTGTAATCCCAGCATTTTGGGAGGCTGAGGAGGGCAGATCACTTGAGGCCAGGAGTTGGAGAGCAGCCTGGCCAACATGGTGAAACCCCGTCTCTACTAAAAATACAAAAATTAGCCGGGCATGATGGCGCATGCTTGTAATCCCAGCTACTCAGGAGGCTGAGGCAGGAGAATCGCTTGAACCCAGGAGGCAGAGGTTGCAGTGAGCCGAGATGGCGCCACTGCACCCCAGCCTGAGCGACAGAGGAAGACTCCACCTCATTTAAAAAAAAAATACATACATACACACACACACACACACACACACACACACACACACACACACACACACACACACACACACATTTGCTGTAGGTGTTACCTCCTCCTGCCTGGCATGGCCAGGAACTTAATCTTGAGCTCCAGCCTGTCGTCCTGTACGCTACTCTGAGGAGGCGGCTGTGGAGCCCATGCAAGTCGACAAGGACCTCCCGGAGGACCTGCAGAATGCACCCGACATCAACTACTTGGTGGACGCCACCCTGGAACTGGAGCAGTGCGTTGCCAGTTGCAGCGGCCTGATGTGCACTGAGCGGCTGCAGTTTATTGCTGACTGACTACTGCCCCTTGCTGCGGGTGGATGCCCTGAATATGGCGCTCTCCTTCCTGCAGAGAATCTTTAACGTGGACCTGTACGAAGAGGTCCACCGGAAGCTCTCGAAGAGGTCCACCTGAAGCTCTCGGAGGCCACCAGGAATCTGAGGAACTCACCCGACGCCATCCTTGAGAGTGGCGTGGAGCCCCCGTCCCTGGACACGGCCTGGGTGGAGGCCACTCAGAAAGAGGCCCTGCTTAAGCTGGAGAAGCCGGACGCAGACCTGAAGAACTACAAGCGCAACTCCACCAAGGAGCGCACCAGGCGCGGCCATGATGATTCAGCAATGCCCTCAAGTGTCACTCACGGCCTGAGACTACTGCAGCAGCGCCAAGCACGCCATCAACATGTCCTCAACGTCTTCAAGGTCAGCGTCTACTTGCAAAATTGGCCTTACGTGCTGAGCCGCGTCAGCAAGGCCGAGTCCACCCTGGAGATTGCCTAGCAGCGAGGACAGAGGGGCAGCCAGCCAGGCGCAGGCGGTCCTCACCCAGCTTCAATGCGCTGGAGGCTTGGCAGAGCTGGTCGCGAGGAAGTACAAGCAGGCTGCCAAATGCTTCCTGCTGGCTTCGTTTGATCACTGTGACGTCCCCCAGCTGCTGTCCCCCAGCAACGTGGCCGTCTGTGGGGGCCTATGCGCCTTGGCCACCTTCGACCGGCAGAAGCTGCAGCGCCGCCTCATCTCCAGCAGCTCCTTCAAGTTGTTCTTGGAGCTGGAGCCGCAGGTTGGAGACATCGTCTTCTAATTCCACGAGTCCAAGCGTGCCTCGTGTCTGAAGATGCTGGACGATGCCTCGTGTCTGAAGATGCTGCACCTTTAGCCTTGAGGCCAGGAGTTTGAGACCAGTTGGGTCAACATGGCGAAATCCCGTCTCTACTAAAAAATACAAAAATTAGCTGGGCGTGGTGGTGCCTGCCTGTAATCACAGCTACTCCGGAGGCTCAGGGAAGAGAATTGCCTGAGCGTGAGAGACAGAGTTTGCAGTGAGTCGAGATCGCGCCGCTGCACTCTAGCCTGGGAGAAAAAGAGAGACTCTGTCTACACACACACACACACACACACACACACACACACACACACACAAAGGAGGAGATGTAGGACGACCTGCTCTTGGACATGTGTACCTCCCCCACCCCCACTCCCTCACCGCCCCACCGTCAGGACCCTGTACGCCCAGATTCGCAACTCTGCCCTCAACTCGCACAGGGTGGCCGTGCCCTTAGCCCCGCTGTGGCAGCCCGGGAGGGTGAGCTGACGCAGCAAGTCCGGGAGGGGCTGACGCGCCCGCGTGGACTCGCACAGCAAGATCCTGGACGCCCGGGATGTGGATCAGCGCAAGCACCACCTTCGAGAAGTCTCTGCGGATCGGCAGGGAGTTTCAGCACCGCGCCAAAGGCCGGATGCTGAGGGTAGCTGTGCTGCGCAACCAGATCCACGTGAAATCCCTTCCAGAGAAGGGAGCCCGGGGAGCGACTCCGGCCAACAGCCAGTCCCGGTGGACACCAGCTTCTTAGGGGTCAGCCTCCAGGACGTCTGCACACCCTCCCGCCCCAACGGACCTGTTCACTTCGAGGCAGCTCTGTGCCACCCGCGGCCCAGTGGAGAGCCTGGCTGTGTGCCCTAGCACCCCGTGTGCCCTCGCACCCCATGTGCCCTGTGCTGGGGCCTGGGAGGCAGGCGGCTGCTAGCCATCCTGGAAGGCGGGGCCTGTAGGGCTTGACCGCGTGGGTGTCTGTACCTAGGAAGCAGGCTGTGCAGCGCCTAGGGGGCACCACCTCCTGGAACCCTCCTATTCCAAGGAGGGAGAGGGGAAGGGGAGGGGAGGGGAAGGGAGAAGAGGAGGAAGAGGAAGAGGCAGAATAAGAAGAGGAGGAGGGAGAGAGGAGGAGAGGGAGGTTTATTTTTTTCTTTTTTTTCGAGGCGGAGTCTTGCTCTGTTGCCCAGGTTGGAGTGCAGTGTCGCGATCTGGGCTCACTGCAGCCTCCACCTCCTGGGCTCAAGTGATCCTCCCACCTCAGCCTCCCGAGTAGCTGGAACTGCAGGTGCACAACACCATGCCCAGCGAATTTTTGTGTTGTTTTGCAGAGATGGGGTTTTGCAGTGTTGCTCAGGCTAGTCTCGAGCTCCTGGGCTCAAGTAACCTGCTTGAGGCCTCCCAAAGTGCTGGGATTACAGGAATGAGCCACCACGTACTGGTCTTTTTTCTTTTCTTTCTTTCTTTTTTTTTTTTTTTTTTTTTTTTGAGACAGAGTCTTGCTCTGTCACCAAGGCTGGAACGCGATGGTGCAATCATAGCACTGCAACCTTGAACTCCCGGGTTAAAGTTGTCTTCCCTCCTCAGCCTCCCGAGTAGCTAAGACTACAGGCATGCACCACAATCCTTTGTTAATTTTTTTTTTTTTTTGTAAGGACTGGGGTCTCACTATGTTACTCAGGCTGGTCTCCAACTCCTAGCCTCAAGCAATCCTTCTGCCTTGGCCTCCCAAAGTGCTGATATTATAGGCATGAACCACCACACCCGACCCTAAAAATGTTTATTCTCTTTTTGAGATGTTTCTTCTTTCAGCATGGCATGATTTGCAGTAACACTTTAGGTTTGATTGCCACTCCATTACTATTTGTTCACATTTATGAGGCCACACTCACCCCAGGCAGTTGTTTATGAAATCGGACATGACTCATTGATCTGTGAGCATCGATTCCTAGAACAATCAACAGACTGAAAGAAATGCACCCAAACTTAAATCACTGTATGCATTCACCAACGCAAAAGGAAAATTCTCATTTGTTTCACTTTTCATTTCCAAATATGATATACCAGGAGAGGTCCCAGCTTGGTATCAATTAGAAAAAAATACTGTAAGAAAATTGCAAAGCACCAGAGGACATTTTGAACCTTGGGGGAGGACTAGGTTAGACTCCATTGATCAAAATAACTGTGCTCATTCTGGATTAGGGCCCCACAGCCACCTGATCAGAGCCTTTATATCTGCAACCAGCAGCAATTTTTCCACTAATGAGCCACACACGGTGCAACTTTGAGGTTCTGCGAACCCAATCGTGATTTTTTTGTTCACTCATAAGGTAAGTAGTAAATATGTGGACTCTCTTGTTTATGAGAAATATATAGAAAATCCTTGTGGGTATAGAAAACAAGATCTGAAATAATATGCAGAAAAGGGCCATCAGCATTTTACATAGGATATGCTAAATTTGTATTTGATAATAAAAGAAAATTCAGTAATATTTCTAAGACCCACATTCATTTAATGGTAAAAAGTAGTTATTTTTAGAAAACGGACTAGTTGTCTAAAGGACAAAATGTCTTGTATTCTAGTATGTAAGATTGTATTTTTGTTTTTCGTATAGGCTAAGCTCGGTTTTCCTTTCCTTGCTATTTAAAAATAATAATTTCCACATTTTAAAGAGATAGTGGCAAAAAGAAGTATTATATAGTTTAGTACTGCCAAATAGGAATAAGATTGACATAAGTTAGCTTTCCCACCTCAGGGTTTTTATATAAAATAGAAGCTATAGATTTTTTTTAAGTGCTAAAGGAATCCTTTATTTTTTTTCCGGATCTCTACCTGCAGAGGAAATCCCTTTTTAAAATAAAGAATAATGACCAGAAAGTTTTAAGAGAATAATTATGGGAAAAGACCAAAACTTTAAGACAGGATAGAACTTAGTAAATTATTGCTTTTGGTTAATGAGGTCTGAGTCCTCATTTTAATATCTAATTTTTATTTGCAAGTAATATAAATGACTGCATTCTTAATTTTTGAATCTCAAACAATTCACAAGTATATAGAGTAAATTATAAAAGTCTCATTAATACCTCTTCCAAATTCTGAGAGGTATCTACCACTTTTTCAATTTCATTAAAAAATTATTTATATTTATATACGTACATACAGGTAAAAATGTACATAAACATACACTTTTGATAAAAATCACTTATGCTTTCTTAGAAGTCTTTTTTCCTTTCCTTTCTCTTTTTAGCCTCTCTTTTTTCCACCTTAACTTCCCGTCCACTCTCATCACCTTCAACAGCTCAGGTAACCTATATTAAATTCCTGGTGTGTATCCTTCTGCATTTTTTTCTCCATGCTCAATTAAATCACATACATATATATCTCATATACACATGCATACATATACATGTACATTTATAGAATTTTGTTTTACTGAGTGATTTACAATTCCACACTGAATCTTTGGATTAATTTGGGAAGAATTGACATCTTTACCTATATTGCAATTTTCAATCCCTGAGCATGGTATATCACCATTAAATTAAATTAATTTATATAGTGGTGTGTTTGTGTGTGTGTGTGTGTGTGTGTGTGTGTATTTGGCATTGTCAACTATTCCCCTTCTTGAAACTCTGGCTTTGGGCTTTGGTTTCAGAGACAGCACCCTCATGATTTTCCTCCTCTTTCTCCTTGGCCATTTCTCATATTTATTTGTAGATTCTTTTGTGGGGAAAAGAAAGAGATCAGATTGTTACTGTGTCTGTGTAGAAAGAAATAGACATAAGAGACTCCATTTTGTTCTGTACTAAGAAAAATTCTTCTGCCTTGAGATGCTGTTAATCTGTAACCCTACCCCCAACCCTGTGCTCCCTAAAACATGTGCAGTGTCAACTCAGAGTTAAATGGATTAAGGGCTGTGCAGGGTGTGCTTTGTTAAACAAATGCTTGAAGGCAGCATGCTTGTTAAGAGTCATCACCACTCCCTAATCTTAAGTACCCAGAGACACAAAACACTTCGGAAGGCCTCAAGGACCTCTGCCGAGGAAAGCCAGGTATTGTCCAAGGTTTCTCCCCATGTGATAGTCTGAAATATGGCCTCGTGGGAAGGGAAAGACCTGACCGTCCCCCAGCCCGACACCTGTAAAGGGTCTGTGCTGAGGAGGATTAGTAAAAGAGGAAGGAACGCCTCTTTGCAGTTGAGATAAGAGGAAGGCTTCTGTCTCCTGCTCGTCCCTGGGCAATGGAATGTGTCGGTGTAAAGCCGATTGTATCTACTGAGATAGGGGAAAACCGCCTTAGGGCTGGAGGTGGGACATGCTGGCAGCAATACTGCTCTTTAAGGCATTAAGATGTTTATGTATATGCACATCAAAAGCACAGCACTTTTTTCTTTACCTTGTTTATGATGCAGAGACATTTGTTCACGTGTTTACCTTCTGACCTCCTCTCCACTATTAACCTATTATCCTGCCATGCCCGATAATGATCAATAAATACTAAGGGAACTCAGAGGCCGGTGCTGGCGTGGATCCTCCGTATGCTGAATGCCGGTCCCCTGGGCCCCTTTTTCTTTCTCTATACTTTGTCTCTGTGTCTCTTTCTTTTCCAAGTCTCTCCTTCCACCTAACGAGAAACACCCACAGGTGTGGAGGGGCAACCCACCCCTTCACTCTTTCTTCCTCTATATTAGTCTCAGGGTTCTGTCATTGTCTCACTTTTTCTTTTTGTCTCTGAGGGATCTTCTCTACTTATTCAATGATAATTCATAAATGTTTATCTCCTGTTTGTACCATTTTTGTTGTCGTTGTTCTCTAGACCCAGATACCTTCTGGACAGCTCCACCTTTGCCATTCAGTTTTGCTGGTAGAATCTGTATTTTCTTTTTCTTTTTTTTTTTTTTTTGAGGAAGGGTCTCACTCTGTCACCCAGGCTGGAGTGCAGTAGTGTCATTATGGCTCCCCGCAGCCTCAAATTCCTGGGCTCAAGTGATCCTCCCACATCAGCCTCCCTAGTAGCTAGGACTATAGGCACTCACCATCATGCCTGGCTAACTTTTTACATTTATTTTTTGTAGAGACAGGGGCCTCACTATATTTCCCAGCCTGGTCTGCAACTCCTGGGCTCAAGCAGTCCTCCTGCCTCCACCTCCCAAAATTCTGGGATTACAGGAGTGAGCCACCATGCCCAGCTAGAATCTGGATTTTTTTCTAATTATAATTTCTGGCACTAATGTGCTTAAAAAGCCTTCTACTTCAAGATTACAAAACATATTCTTTTATAATTTATTTTAATACTTTTATGGTTTACTTTTTTACAATTAATATTATGTTCCATCTGGAATCAATTGTTGTGTTTGGAGATAAGTTGGAAAAAAATCTAAGAATTCCAGGTTTTTCTCTCTTTTTCTTTTGGTTGATATTCATTTTTGTATTATCAGTATTGATTCATTTTATAGGTTAGTGGGAGTCCTTAGTGATCAAGTACTGTGAGGTCTGGGACCAAATATATTTTGTTATTGAATTCCTGGCATCTAGCCCAATGCCTAAGCGATAGCAAGGTTTGATTTATTTTATTTTATTTTATTTATTTTTTTGAGGCAGAGTCTTGCTCTATTGCCCAGGCTGGAGTACAGTGGCATGACCTTGGCTCAGTGCAACCTCCGCCTCCCAGGTTCAAGCGATTCTCCTGCTTCAGCCTCCTGAGTAGCTGGGATTATAGGCGCACAGCACCACACCTGGCTAATTTTGGTATTTTTAGTATAGACGGGGTTTCACTATGTTGGCCAGGCTGTGTTCAATCTCCTGACCTCATCATCCGCCCGCCTCAGCCTCCCAAAGTGTTGGGATTACAGGCATGAGCCACTGCGCCCAGCCAATAGCAAGATGTTAGCAAATATTACTGAATGAATGAATTATGGAAGGAGAGAATTGTTTCATTATCTTTTTTTTTTTGAAACAGAGTTTCACTCTTTTGCCCAGGCTGGAGTGAAGTGGCGTGATCTCAGCTCACTGCAATCTCTGCCCCCTGGGTTCAGGTGATTCTCCTGCCTCAGCCTCCTGAGTAGCTGGGATTACAGGCGCGTGCCACCACACCGGCTAGTTTTCCTATTTTTAGTAGAGACGGGATTTCACCATGTTGGCCAGGCTGATCTCGACCTCCTGACCTCAGGTGATCCACCCACCTCAGCCTCCCAAAGTGCTAGGATTACAGGCATGAGCCACCACGTCCAGCCTCATTATCTATTTTAACTTAATAATACTTTCCTATTTTTCCTCTGTATCTTTCTTATCTGGAAGTCTTCCATATCTTAGAAAGCTTTAACCTACTAAGTATTTTAACCTTATTGAACCTTGAAAAACATTAGTTTTTCAGGATAAACCAAGTAACCTGTTCATGTCAGCTATACCTGTATTGTTTCCCAGATCCTAAGCTTGCTAGAGAAGCAGTTTATATTCACTTTTCTTCTAAGTTAGCAAAAATTCCATGAAAACATGATGTTCCAGATGTGGCTTAATGGATGTAATTATGTGTTATTGCTGGTATTGTTTCTGTGTCTGCCTAATCTTTACTGCTACCCTGATATGAGCCAGTTCCTGAGGGTTTGACTGATTTGTATTTTCTTTACCTATACTTTGTCTTGCAGTGAAAGCCCTGGATAATATATCATGAGGATCTACTTTATTTTGCCTATTGATGGTTATTTTGGTGATAGGGTCAAGGAACAGAATTTTAAAGTGAAAAGACAATTCCATTGACTATTATATATTGACGCCTTGTGTGTGCGATGACCAACATGCTTTAGAAAGAGTCTCTATCTGCAAGGGGTGTACCTTTCCAGGAAGGGGAACACAACCATCACAAAACTCATTTAGGCACAGTCCCAGGTGATTAATATTAATAATAGTGTTGTGAGGATTCAGGAAAGGGAAAAATAACTACAACTTGGGATGGGTAGGGAACACTTCCTGAGGAATTGAGACTCCTTTACGATCATGTCAGATGTATGGTAAGTAGCGTATCTCATGTGGATAGAAAAATGAATACAATTGTGCAATTAGAATGAATTGTACAAATATGGAGACCTATTTGTATACTAGAATAACAGGCAGCTTTGTGGGGGAGAGTAAAAGAGAATAGGAAGAAGTAAACTGCTGAAATTGTGAGGGGTATTTAGTGTTTTTTCAAAAATTAATATATTTGGAAATGTCCTATTTTAAGCATGGGCTATAAATATTAGGGCTGGAAGATCCTTCATAATTTTGCTGACATACAAAAGAACCTGCTGTATTTTTGAGCTTGTGTCTATATATTACCACCATGGGTGCTATTAACCTCAGTGTTTTCTGTATATTTCAGACATTAGTCTTTAACCATGGGGGACTGGAACTTATTGGGTGGCATCCTAGAGGAAGTTCACTCCCACTCAACCATAGTGGGGAAAATCTGGCTGACCATCCTCTTCATCTTCCGAATGCTGGTACTTCGTGTGGCTGCTGAGGATGTCTGGGATGATGAACAGTCAGCATTTGCCTGCAACACCCGGCAGCCAGGTTGCAACAATATCTGTTATGATGATGCATTCCCTATCTCTTTGATCAGGTTCTGGGTTTTACAGATCATCTTTGTGTCTTCTCCTTCTTTGGTCTATATGGGCCATGCACTTTATAGGCTCAGGGCCTTTGAGAAAGACAGGCAGAGGAAAAAGTCACACCTTAGAGCCCAGATGGAGAATCCAGATCTTGACTTGGAGGAGCAGCAAAGAATAGATAGGGAACTGAGGAGGTTAGAGGAGCAGAAGAGGATCCATAAAGTCCCTCTGAAAGGATGTCTGCTGCGTACTTATGTCTTACACATCTTGACCAGATCTGTGCTGGAAGTAGGATTCATGATAGGCCAATATATTCTCTATGGGTTTCAAATGCACCCCCTTTACAAATGCACTCAACCTCCTTGCCCCAATGCGGTGGATTGCTTTGTATCCAGGCCCACTGAGAAGACAATTTTCATGCTTTTTATGCACAGCATTGCAGCCATTTCCTTGTTACTCAATATACTGGAAATATTTCATCTAGGCATCAGAAAAATTATGAGGACACTTTATAAGAAATCCAGCAGTGAGGGCATTGAGGATGAAACAGGCCCTCCATTCCATTTGAAGAAATATTCTGTGGCCCAGCAGTGTATGATTTGCTCTTCATTGCCTGAAAGAATCTCTCCACTTCAAGCTAACAATCAACAGCAAGTCATTCGAGTTAATGTGCCAAAGTCTAAAACCATGTGGCAAATCCCACAGCCAAGGCAACTTGAAGTAGACCCTTCCAATGGGAAAAAGGACTGGTCTGAGAAGGATCAGCATAGCGGACAGCTCCATGTTCACAGCCCGTGTCCCTGGGCTGGCAGTGCTGGAAATCAGCACCTGGGACAGCAATCAGACCATTCCTCATTTGGCCTGCAGAATACAATGTCTCAGTCCTGGCTAGGTACAACTACGGCTCCTAGAAACTGTCCATCCTTTGCAGTAGGAACCTGGGAGCAGTCCCAGGACCCAGAACCCTCAGGTGAGCCTCTCACAGATCTTCATAGTCACTGCAGAGACAGTGAAGGCAGCATGAGAGAGAGTGGGGTCTGGATAGACAGATCTCGCCCAGGCAGTCGCAAGGCCAGCTTTCTGTCCAGATTGTTGTCTGAAAAGCGACATCTGCACAGTGACTCAGGAAGCTCTGGTTCTCGGAATAGCTCCTGCTTGGATTTTCCTCACTGGGAAAACAGCCCCTCACCTCTGCCTTCAGTCACTGGGCACAGAACATCAATGGTAAGACAGGCAGCCCTACCGATCATGGAACTATCACAAGAGCTGTTCCATTCTGGATGCTTTCTTTTTCCTTTCTTTCTTCCTGGGGTGTGTATGTATGTTTGTGTTGACAGAGAGGCAGATGGAGGGGGAGATTATTTATGGAGAGATAAAATTATTCATTCGATACATTCAGTTAAATTCAATTCATAAAATAGACTTAGAAAAATCTTATTATATCAATCGCTCTTATAAGTGCTGGGCATGTAAATGGGTAAAATACAGTCTCTGACATCAAAGGACTCAGGATGTAGGAGTAAAATTTAGGCAGGTAAAATGTAAATATATCAAGTGTAAGGCGTCACGTTAGTGGGAATGAGTGAGCAAAGGAGGGAGTGATCATATGGATGGGTCAGGAAAAGTTCATAGTTGAAGTTACCTTGAGCTGAATCTTGAAAGATGTGGCAAGTTTTTCCAAAACCGGAAGGACTGGGGCACATGAAAGAAGCTGTCCTGGTAGAGGGAGCAGTGCAGGTAAAGCCTAAGAGTGAGACATAGCAGTGCTGTCTGAGGAGCTGTGTGTGGCTGGAGCACAGGGTGGTAGGAGGGTGCAGAGGGAGGGAAGGCTGGAGAAGTGGGCATGGAGGCCCTGTAGGGAAGCCATAGAGAACTGACGGAGGATGTGGAGCAGAGGAGGGACTGGATCAGAGTTGCAGTTTAGAAAGTCCTTCTGTCACAGTGTGGAAAACAGTCCAGAGGAGGGATCATTTGTAACTTGAGTTGCCCTCATCTCACTAAAAAAGGAGTGTGTACTTCATTCTTTTAATACTTTTGACATTTCAAAGTCATATACAAATATTTGGTGATATATTTTACAAAGACAAGAATCAATATTGTATGATTTTAATTTTGTTCTCTGAAAAATCACTGTGGGATTAAACATTTCTTACCCATTATAAACATGAAATGGATATTTACTGTGGATTCTTCTCAATTCTGGAACAAAGGACGACACTTGATTACTCACTGCTCCCAATAGTCAACTGTTTCCATTAAAAAGAAAATTCCCCCAAGGTTGGTGGGAGAGCTTCTGAGTTGAGCTCACCTGCTTGTTTCTTCCTTTGTTCCACTTTTTGTGTTGATAATTACTGAATCCCTCTACCCTAGTTTTACATCTCCTGTGGGTTTAGATACTGATGTTACTGTACTACAGACATACCATGAATTCAAATCAACCTACTTGGATTTTTACTAAAATACTTCTCTCAAACTGATATTCATTTCTTGTCAGTGACCAGCCATTTATTTAGGAGACTGTTTAGGATCAATGCATGGGTGCTTAGAAACCTATGCCAAACTAGAGCAGGGTTCTTAACCCTTGCCATACATTACAGTCATCTGGGAGGCTTAAAAGCCATCATGCCCGGGACCCATCCAATTCTAATTAAACCAGAATCTCTGTGGGTGGGATGCATGCATGAATATTTTTCAAACTCCCATGGTGAGTGCAATGTGCAGCCAGGGTTAAGAACCACTGTTTTAGAATAACTTGAGGCCAGGCATGGTGGCTCATGCCTGTAATCCCAGTACTTTGGGAGGTCGAGGCAGGTGAATCACTTGAGCTCAAGACTTCAAGACCAGCCGGGGCAACATGATGAAACCCTGTTTCTCAAAAAAAAAAAAAAAAAAATACAAAGATTAGCCAGGTGTGGTTATGCATGCCTGTAGTCCCAGCTACTTGGGAGGATCACTTGAGCCTGGAAGGTTGAGGCTGCAGTGAGCCATGATCATGCCACTGCACTCCAGCTTGGGCTACAGACTGAGACCCTGTCTCTAAAAAATAAAAATAAATAAATAAAATAGAATTATTTGGCCAGTGGCAGCTACTTCTTTTTTTAAAAATTTCCTTTCTTTCGGACAAGTGTGGTGGCTCACGCCTGTAATCTCAGCACTTTGGGAGGCCGAGGCGGGTGGATCACCTGAGGTCAGGAGTTGGAGACTGGCCTGACTAACGTGGAGAAACCCTGTCTCTACTAAAAATACAAAATTACCCAGGCGTGGTGGTGCATGCCTGTAATCCCAGCTACTGGGGAGACTGAGGCAGGAGAATCGCTTGAACCCAGGAGGCAGTGGTTGCGGTAAGCCGAGATCGCACCATTGCACTCCAGCCTGGGCAATGAGGAAATTCTTTTCTTTTCTTTCCTTTCCTTTCCTTTCCTTTCCTTTCCTTTCCTTTCCTTTCCTTTCCTTTCCTTTCCTTTCCTTTCCTTTCCTTTCCCTTCCCTTCCCTTCCCTTCCTTTCCTTTCCTTTCCTTTCCTTTTCTTTCTTTCTTTCTCTTTCCCTCCCTCCCTTCCCTCGTTCCTTCCTTCCTTCCTTCCTTTCCTTCTTTCCTTCCTTCCTGTTAAGTGCAGTAGTAAGAAGGGGGGAAAGAGTAGAACAAGGAGTTCAATCTGTAACTGACTGTGAACAATCAGTTGGGATAACTCACTGCATTCAGACCATCCACTGCTTCTTATCTGCATTTGCAAAGTCAGCAATACAATTTTCATCATTTTCTTTTTCTTGTACCTTACATGCAAGAGAAGCCTTTTACTGGCAGACTGTTGAGGGAGATATGGCAGTTTTTAGGTGAGATAGATTTTCTTTTTTCTTTTTTTTTTTTTTGAGACAGAGTCTTGCTCTGTCGCCCAGACTGGAGTGCAGTGGCGCGGTCTCGGCTCACTGCAAGCTCTGCCTCCTGGGTTCACGCCATTCTCCTGCCTAAGCCTCCGGAGTAGCTGGGACTACAGGCACCTGCCACCATGCTCCGCTATTTTTTTTGTATTTTTAGTAGAGACGGGGTTTCACCGTGTTAGCCAGTATGGTCTCCATCTGCTGACCTCGTGATCCGCCCGCCTCGGCCTCCCAAAGTGCTGGGATTACAGGCGTGAGCCACCGCACCCAGCCGAGATAGATTTTCTTAATCCTTCAGTTTATCTTTTGGGAGAGGCCAGCCAAGCTCAGAATCCTGGAGTGAAGATGATGAAACTGATGGGCTGTCTCTTTTCTTTTCTGTATGGACTATATTGTATTCATAAATATAAGTAGGAGTAAAAAATAATTTGCACTGAGAAAATGCATCACTAACCTTTTTTTTTTTTTTTTTTTTTTTGAGACACAGTCTCACTCTGTCCTCAGGCTGGAGTGCAGTGGCGTGATCTCAGCTCACTGCAACCTCTGCCTCCTGGGTTCAAGCAAGTCTGCCTCAGCCTTCCAAACAGCTGGGACTACAGGCATGCACCACCACGCCCAGCTAATTTTTGTATTTTTAGTAGAGACAGGGTTTCGCCATATTGGCCAGGATGCTCTCGATCTCTTGACCTTGTGATCCGCCTGCCTTGGCCTCCCAAAGTGCTGGGATTACAGGTGTGAGCCACCGCGCCTGGCCACTAACCTCTTATAAATACAAGACATGAACGTCTAATCAGGCCTGATTTACTCTTTGAATGTTACAGCATTTTGTTTTCTTCCAATTCAACGTTTTCCCCTTTATTTTTCATACCTTAGGAACAATATAAACAAAAACCTCCACAATACACAACATCCAATCCTGTTGTCAAATTAGAGACATAATGGGATTTGACACTCTTATTTCCTGACTTAGATACAAGGACAGGAGAGAAAAGGAAACAGTAGATAACAACAGAGGGAGCCAGGTGGGATGGCACCACTCAAGGCTGCTGAGAGCCATGGAGTCACTGTACAGAGGGTTATCAACTTTATTTTTTAGAGCAGTTCACAGTGAAGTTGAATGGAAAATACAGAGAGTGCTCATATACCCACTGTTCCCCTACATGTGCGAACCTCCCCAACTATTGACATCCTATTATCAGAGTGGTACGTTTGCTACAACTGATGAACCTACACTGACACATCATTATCACCCAAAGCCCATATTTACATTAGGATTCACCCTTGGTGTGGTATATTCTATGGGTCTGGACAAATGTATAATGACATGGATTTACCAGTATAGTATCATACAGAGGAGTTTCACTGTCTTAAAAACCCTCTGTGCTTCCCCTATTCATCCCTTCCTCCCTCAAGCCCTGGCAACCACCGATCTTTTACTGAATCTAACGCCTTGCCTTTTCCAGAATGTCATACAGTTGGATCATACAATATGTAGTTTTTTCACATTGGCCTCTTATGCTTAGTAATATGCATTTAGATTTCCTCCATGTCTTTCCATGGCTTGATAGCTCATTTCTTTTTATCACTGAATAATATTCTTTTATCTGGATGTACCGCAGTTTATTTACCCATTTACCTTCTGAAGGACATCTTGGTTGCTTCCAAGTTTTAGCAAGTATGAATATAGCTGCTATAAACATCCATGTGCAGGTTTTTATATGAATGTAATTTTCAATTAATGCGGGTAAATACCAAAAAGCGTAATTGCTGGATCATATGGTAAGAGTAAGCTTTGTTTCATAAAAAACTGCCAAACTGTCTTCCAAAGTTGCTGTACCATTTTTTTATTCCCACCAGCAATGAATGAGAGTTCCTGTTGTTTCATACTCTTGCTATTGTCATTGTTTTGGATTTTGGCCATTTAATAGGTGTGTAGTGGTATCTTGTTTCAAACTCCTGACCTCAAGTGAACCGCCCACCTTGGCCTCCCAAAGTGCTGGGATTACAGGCGTGAGCCACTGCGCCCAGCTAGTATATTGTTTTAATTTGCAATTCCCTAATGACCTATGTTGTTGAACATATTTCCTATGCTTACTTGCCATCTATATCTTCCTTGGTAAGTTATCTTATTGTTGAGTTTTAAGTATTCTTTGTGTGTGTGTGTATGTGTGTGTGTATATAATATATATATAAATATTATATATATATATATATATATATATAATTTTTTTTTGAGATGGAGTCTCGCTCTGTTGCCCCAGGCTGGAGTGCAATGGCACGATCTTGGCTCACTGCAACCTCCACCTCCCGGGTTCAAGCAATTCTCCTGCCTCAGCTTCCCGAGTAGCTGGGATTACAGGTGCCTGTCACCACGCCGGGCTAATTTTTGTATTTTTAGTAGAGTCAGGATTTCACTATGCTGGCCAGGCTGGTCTCGAAATCCCGACTTCAGGCGATCCACCCGCCTCAAAGTGTTGGGATCACCGGCGTGAGCCACCGAGCCTGACTGGTAATATGTTTTTAATTTCACATTTTACTTATTCATTGCTGGTATATAGGAAAGTCATAGACTTTTGCACATTAGCCTTATATCTTGAAATCCAGGATATAAATACTATAAATACTCCAGGAGTATTTTCTGTCAACTTTTTCTGATTTTTCTTTTCTTTCTTTTTTTCTTTGAGACGGAGTCTCGCTTTGTCACCCAGGCTAGAGTACAGTGGGGCGAGCTCAGCTCACCGCAACCTCTGCCTCCTAGATTCTAAGCGATTCTCCTGCCTCAGCCTCCCAAGTAGCTGGGATTACAGGCACGCGCCACGAGGCCCGGCTAATTTTTGTATTTTTAGTAGAGACAGGGTTTCACCATGTTGTCCAGGCTGGTCTCAAACTCCTGACTTCAGGTGATCCACCCGTCTCGGCCTCCCAAAGTGCTAGGATTACAGGCTTGAGTCACCGCGCCAGTGCAGTTTTTTCAGATTTTTCTGTGTAGACAACCATAATTTCCGGGAACAAAGACAGTCATTTCTTCCTTCCCAATCCATATACCCTTTCTTTACTTTTTTGTCTTATCTCATCTTGTCTTGTCTTAGTGCATTATCTAGGACTTCCAGGACAATTTCGAAAAGCAGTTGTAAGAGGGTATATCCTTCTCTTTGTTCCTGATTATAGAGAGAAAGATTCAAGTTTCTTACCAGTACATATAACGTCAGCTATAGATTTTTTTGTAGAGGTTCCTTATCAAGTTGAGTAAGTTCTCCTTTTAGTTTTCTAAGAGTTTTTAATCACAATGGGTGTTGGATTTTGTGAAATGCTTTTTCTGCATCTACTGATATGGGATGTGATTTTTCTTTGGTAGCCTGTTGATGTGACAGATTACATTAATTGATTTTGATTTTTTTTTTATTTTTGAGACAGAGTCTCACTTTGCCACCCTGGCTGGAGTGCAGAGGTGCAATCTTGGCTCACTGCAATCTCTGCCTCCCAGGCTCAAGTGATTCTCATGCCTCAGCCTCCCAGGTAGCTGGGATTACAGGCATGTGCCCCCATGCCCAGCTAATTTTTGTATTTTTAGTAGAGATGGGGTTTCACCACGCTGGCCAGACTGGTCTCGAATTCTTGGCCTCAAGTGATCCACCCGCCTCTGCCTCCCAAAGTGCTGGGATTACAGGCGTGAGCCACCACACCCAGCCTGATTTTTGAATGTTGAACCAGCATGGCATACCTGGGATAAATCCCACTTGGTCATGGTGTATAATTCTTTATTTTTATTATTTATTTATTTATTTATTTTTTGAAACAGAGTCTCGCCCTGTCACGCCCAGGCTGGAGTGCAGTGGCAGCCATCTCGGCTCACTGCAAGCTCCGCCTCCCGGGTTCACGCCGTTCTCCTGCCTCAGCCTCCCGAGTAGCTGGGACCACAGGTGCCTGCCACCATGCCCGGCTAATTTTTTTGTATTTTTATTAGAGACAGGGTTTCACCATGTTAGCCAGGATGGTCTTGATCTCCTGATCTCGTGATCTGCCCGCCTTGGCCTCCCAAAGTGCAGGATTACAGGCGTGAGCCACCGTGCCTGGCCCTTTATTTTTATTTTTTGGAGACAGGGTCTCACTCTGTTACCCAGGCTGGAGTGCAGTGGCATGATCTCAGGTCACTGCAGCCTCTGCCTCCTGGGCTCAAGTGGTCTTCCCACCTCCGTCTCCTGAGTAGCTGTGGCTACAGGCATACACCATCACACCCAACTAAGTTTTGCATTTTTTGGTAGAGACACGGTTTCATCATGTTCCCCAGGCTGGTCTTGAACTCCTTGGCTCAAGCGATCCACCTGCCTCAGCATCTCAAAGTGCTGGGATTACAGACGTGAGCCACTATACTTGGCCTATAATTCTTTTTATACATTGTTGGATTTGATTTGACAATTTTTTTGAGGATTTTTACATTTATGTTCATGAGAGATATTGGTCTGTAGTTTTCTTTTCTTGCATGTCTTTGGTTTTGGTATTAGGGTAATGCTGGTCTCATAGAATGAGTTAGGAAGTACTCTTTCTGCTTCTATCTTTTGGAAGAGATGGTAGAGAATTGATACAATTTTTTTCATAAGTGTCTGTTAGACTCACCATTGAACACATTTGGATCTAATGTTTTGGAAGGTTGATCATTATTGATTCAGTTTCTTTAATAGATATAAGCCTATTCATATGGTCTATATCTTCTTGTGTGAGTTTTGGCAGATTGTGTCTTTTCTAGGAATTGGTACATTCTAGGTTATCAAATCTGGGGGCATAGAGTTGTCCATAATATTCCTTTATTATTCTTTTAATGTTGGTGGGATCTGTACTGATGTTCTCTCTTTCATTTGTGATATTAGTAACTTGTTTCTTCTCTCTTTTTTTCTTAGTTAACCTGTATATCAGGCTGTTTTTGGATTGCTATAAAGAAATACCTGAGACTGAGTAATTTATAAAGAAAAGAGGTTTAATTGGCTCAGCGTTCTGCAGGCTTTATAGAAAGCATGGTTCTGGCATCTGCTCAGTTGCTAGGGAGGCCTCAGGAAACTTATAATCATGGTGGAAGGGAAGGGGGAGCAGGCATGTCACATGGTGAAAGCAGGAGCGAGGGAGTGAGAGGGGAGGTGCCACACACTTTTAAACAACCAGATCTCATGGGAACCCAGAGTGAGAGCTCACTTATTACTGAGGGGATGGCCCAAGCCATTCATGAGGGATCTGCCCCCATGATCTAAATACCTCCTACCAGGCCCTACCTCCAATACTGGGGATTACAATTTGGGGAGGGACAAATATGCAAATGATATTAGCCTGGCTAGAGACTTACACACTTTATTGATGTTTTCAAAGAGGTAGATTTTGGTTTTGTTGATGTTCCCTATTAATTTCCTATTTCAATTTCATTCATCTCTGCTCTAATTTTCATTATTGCTTTGTTTCTGCTTCCCTTGGATTTAATTATTTTTTTAGTTTCCTAAAAGTAGATAAATGATTTTAGATCTTTCTTCTTTTCTTTTTCTTTTTTTTTGAGACAGAGTTTCGCTTTGTTGCCCAGGCTGGAGTTCAATGGCACGATCTCGGCTCACTGCAGCCTCTGCCTCCTGGGTTCAAGTGATTCTCCTGTCTCAGCCTCCCTAATAGCTAGGATTACAGGTTCTCGCCACCACGCCTAGCTAATTTTTGTATTTTTAGTAGAGACGGCATTTCATCATGTTGGCCAGTCTGGTCTTGAACTCCTGACCTCAGGTGATCCTCCCGCCTCTGCCTCCCAAAGTACTGGGATTACAGGCATGAGCCACCATGCCCAGCCTAGATCTTTCTTCTTTTCTAATTATACATTCAATGCTATAAATTTCTCCCTAAGCACTGCTTTTGCTGTATCTCACACATTTTGATAAGTTGTGTTATCATTTTTGTTTAGTTGAAAATATGTTTTTTTCCAAGATTTCCTCCTTGACCTATGTGTTATTTATAAATGTATAGTTTAATCTCCAAGTATTTTAGAATTTTCCAGCTATCTTTCTTTTTTCTTTTTTTTTTTTTTTTAAGAGACACGGTCTCTCGCTTGTCACCTAGCTCACTGCAGCCTCAAACTTCTGGGCTCAAGTGATCCTCTCACCTCAGCCTCCTCAGTAGCTGGGACTATGGGTGTGCACCATCATGCTTGGCTTATTTTTAAATTTTTTTGTAGAGCTGGGATGTCACTTTGTAGCCTAGGCTGGTATTGAACTCCTGGCTTAAAGCAACCCTCCGGCCTTGGCCTCCCAAAGTGCTGGGATTACAGGTGTGAACCACTGCACCTGGCCCCAGCTATTATTAATTTCTAGTTTAACTCCATTGTGATCTGAAAACAGACATTGTATGATTTCTATTTTTAAAAATTTAAAAGAGAGAAGACCACAACCTAGAATGTGGTCTATCGTGGTAAGTGTTTCATGTGAGCTTGAGAAGAATGTGTATTCTGTTGTTACTAGATGAAGTAGCCAATAGATGTCAATTTTTTTCTTTTTTAATTTTTTTTTTCGAGATGGAGTCTCGCTCTGTCGCCCATGCTGGAGTGCAGTGGCGTGATCTCGGCTCACTGCAAGCTCTGCCTCTCGGGTTCACGCCATTCTCCTGCCTCAGCCTCACGAGTAGCTGGGACTACAGGCACACACTGCCACGCCCGGCTAATTTTTTTGTATTTTTAGTAGAGACGGGGTTTCACCGTGTTAGCCAGGATGGTCTCGGCTTCCTGACCTTGTGATCCGCCCTCCTCAGCCTCCCAAAGTGCTGGGATTACAGGCATGAGCCACCGAGCTCGGCCTTAATTTGTTAATAAATTATTTTACATTTTATAGAGATGTGGTCTCACTATGATGACCAAATTGGTCTTAAACTTTTGGCCTCAAGCAATCCTCCCATCAGCTTTAGATGTCAATTATATCCAGTTAATTGATGGTGCTGTTGAGTTCAACTATGTCCTTTTGGCTTTTCTGTCTGCTGGATCTGTCCATTTCTGATAGAATGAAGCTAGGGTCTCCAACTATAATAGTGGATTCATTTATTTCTCCTTGCAGTTCTAGCAGTTTTTGCCTCACATATTCTGATCTTCTGTTGTTAGGTACATACACATTAAGGATTGTTTTTTCTCAGAATATTCACCCCTTTATCATTTGCATTGTCCCTCTTTATCCCTGATAACTTTCCTGAAGTCTTCTCTGTCTGAAATTAATATAGCTACTCCTGCCTTCTTTTGATTAGTGTGAGCATCATATATCTTTCTTCATTTCTTTACTTTTACTTTATATATACCTTTATATTTAAAGTTGGTTTCTTTTTCTTTCTTTTTTTTTTTGAGACGGAGTCTCGCTCTGTCGCCCAGGCTGGAGTGCAGTGGCGCAACCTCAGCTCACTGCAAGCTCCGCCTCCCGGGCTCACGCCATTCTCCTGCCTCAGCCTCCCGAGTAGCTGGGACTATAGGCGCCCGCCACCGCACCTGGCTAATTTTTTGTATTTTTAGTAGAGACGGGGTTTCACCGGGGTCTCGATCTCCTGACCTCGTGATCCGCCCGTCTCGGCCTCCCAAAGTGCTGGGATTACAGGCGTGAGCCACCGTGCCCGGCCAAAGTTGGTTTTTTACAGATAACATATAATGCATCTTGTTTTTATTTTTATTTTTTTAGAGACAGTGTCTCACTCTGTTGCCTGGCTGGAGTGCAGTGGCATGATCATGGATCACAGCAGTTTTGACCTCCTGGGCTCAAGTGATCCTCCCACCTCAGCCTCTTGAGTAGCTAGGACTACAGGTGCACATTGCCACTCTCAGCTAATTTTTTTTTCTTTCTTTTTTTTTTTTTTGAGACAGAGTCTCACTCTTGTCGCCCAGGCTGGAGTGCAATGGCATGATCTTGACTCACTGCAACCTGTGCCTCCTGGTTCAAGCGATTCTCCTGCCTCAGCCTCCCAAGTAGCTGGGAGTACAGGTGCCACCACACCCGGCTAATTTTTGTATTTTTAGTAGAGATGGGGTTTCACCATGTTGGCCAGACTGGTCTCAAACTCCTGACCTCAGGTGATCCGCCCGCCTCTGCTCCCAAAGTGCTGGGATTACAGGCGTGAGCCACCGCTTCAAGCACAGCTAATTTTTAATTTTTTTTTTTTGTAGAGATGGGTTATCATTATGTTTCCCAGTCTAGTCTTGAACTCTTGGGTTCAAATGATCCTCCTTCCTTGGCCTTCCCAAAGTGCTGGGATTACATGTGTGAGCCATCATGCCCCATCTGTGTCTTGTTTTTTGATCCACTCTGACAATCTCTGTATTTTGTGTATTTAGATGACTGGCATGAAAAGTGATTATTGATATAATGGCATTAATATTTAGTATATTTATTACTATTTTCCATTTGTCGCCCTTGTTCTTTGCTCCTGTTTTTGTCATGCACACCTTTTCTGCCTTTTGTGGTTTTAATTGAGCACTCTATATGATTTCATTTTCTCTCCTTTCCTTTTTTTTTTGCAATGGAGTCTCGCTGTCTCACCCAGGCTGGAGTGCAGGTGCAGTGGTGTAATCTTGGCTCACTACAACCTCCACCTCCCAGTTCAAGTGATTCTCCTGCCTCAGCCTCCCGAGTAACTGGGGTTACAGGCATGCACCACCACGCCTGGCTAATTTTTGTATTTTTAGTAGAGATGGGGTTTCACCATGTTGGCCAGGCTGGTCTCGAACTCCTGACCTCAGGTGATCCACCTGCCTCAGCCTCTCAAAGTGCTGGGATTACAGGCATGAGCCACCATGCCTGGCATCATTTTCTCTCCTTTCTTTCTTTTTTTGTTTTCTTTGAGACAGAGTCTCTCTCTCTTTCCCCCAGGCTGGAGTGCAGTGGCACGATCTCGGCCCACTGCAACCTCCGCCTCCCGGGTTCATGCGATTCTCCTGACTCAGCCTCCTGAGTAGCTGGGATTACAGGCATGCACCACCAAACCCGGCTAATTTTTGTATTTTTAGTAGAGATGGGGTTTCACCATTTTGGTCAGGTTGGTCTTGAACTCCTGACCACGATCATGATCCACCCACCTCAGCCTCCCAAAGGGTTGGGATTACAGGCGTGAGCCACTGAGCCCGGCCTTTCTCTCCTTCCTTAACGTATTAATTATACTTCCTTTAAAACTTTTTTTGGTGGTTGTCCTAGAGTTTGCAATACGCATTTACAACTAATCCAAGTTCGCTTTCAGATAACACTATGCCACTTTATGGTAGTATAACTACCATTTAATAAAAAAATTCCTAATGCCTCCCTCCTGTCCTTATATTATTGCTGTCACTCATTTCATACATACATAAACATATAAACATACATATGTGTGTCAGTACATTATTCTTAAGAATATGAAAGATACAAGTTCTTATTTTACCTTCTCTTATTTCCTATCTAATGTTTTTCCTTTCTTTATGTAGATCTGAGTTTCTGACCTATATCATTTTTTTTCTCTCTGAAGGACTCTTTTTTAACATTTCTTACAAGGCAGGGCTACTGGCCACACATTCCTACAATTCTTATTTGGCCAAGAAAGTCTTTACTTCTCCTTCACTTTTTTTTTGTTTGTTTGTTTTCTGAGACAGAGTCTCGTTCTGTTGCCCAGGCTGGAATGCGGTGGTGTGATCTCGGCTCATTGCAACCTCCACCTCTTGGGTTCAAGCGATTCTCCTGCCTCAGCTTCCCAAGTAGTTGGGATCACAGGTGTGTGCCACCATACCTGGCTAATTTCTGTATTTTTAATAGAGATGGGGTTTCACCAAGTTGGCCAGGTTGGTTTTGAACTCTTGACTTCAAGCGATTCGCCTGCCTTGGCCTCGCAAAGTGCTGGGATTACAGGCCACTGCGCCTGGCCTTCTCCTTCACTTTGAAGGATAATTCTCAGGATAGAGACTTCTAGATTGGTGGTGTGGTGTTTTCCTCTCAATGCTTTAACTATTTCATTCTCCTGTCTTCTTGCTTGTATCGTTTATGAGAAGTTAAATATAGTTCTTATCTTTGCTCCTCTGTAGGGAAAGTGTTTTTTTTCTCTCTGTCTTCTTTCAAGACTTTTTTCCTCTTTGATTTTCTGAAGTTTGAATATGATAAGCCTAGAAGTAGTTTTTTTTTTGGCATATATCCCATTTGGTGTTTTCTGGACTTCCTGGATGTGTGGTTTGGTGTCTGACATCAGATTTGGGAGCTTATTAGTATTATAGCTTCAAATATTTCTTGTCTTCCTTTCTCTGTTTCTTCTCCTTCTGGTTTATATGTGTGTTATACCTGTTGTAATTGTCCCACAGTTCTTGGGTATTCTGTTCTATTTTGTTTTTGTTTGTTTTAGTCTTTTTTAATCTTTGTTTTTCAGTCCTGGAAGTTTCTATTTTTATATCCTCAAGCTCAGAGATTGTTTCCTCGGCCATGTCCAGTCTACTAATGAGCCCATCAAAGGCATTCTTTATTTCTGTTGCAGTGTTTTTGATCTCTAGCACTTTTCTGTGATTCTTTCTTAGGCTTTTCATCTCCTAACTTACATTATCTACCTGTTCTTATATCTTGTCTACTTTTTCCATTAGAGCCCTTAGCATATTAATCATACTTTTAAATTCCTGGTGTGATAATTCCAACATTTGTGCCCTATCTGACTCTGATTCTGATGCTCGTTGGGTCTCTTCAAACTGCGTTTTTTGCCCTTTAGTATGCTTTGTGCTTTTTTGTTGAAATGTGAATATTTTGTAGAGATGAAAAGAATGTGGGGCTGGGTGTGGTGGCTTACACCTGTAATGTCAGCACTTTGGGAGGCCAAGGCAGGTGGATCCCTTGAGCTCAGGAGCTCGAGAGCAGCTTGGGCAACATAGCAAAACCCTGTCTCTCTTTCCTTTTTTTTTTCCCTTGAGACAGGGTCTCACTCTGTCCCCCAGGCTGGAGTGCAGTGACATGGTCATGGCTTACTGCCACCTCGACCTCCCAGGCTCATGCAATTCTCCTACCTCAGCCTCCCAAGTAGTTGGGACTGTGCCACTGCACTCCAGCCTGGGGGACAGAGTGAGACCCTATCTCAAGAAAAAGAAAAGAGAGAAAAGACTCTGGTAAGTAGACCTTTAGTGGTGTGGTGGTCAGTATGGGGGGAGGGGAACATTCTATAGTCCTATGACTGGGTCTTAATCTTTTGCACCCTAGACTTTCTAATTTTGAAGGCAGTGGTTTGTCCAGTAACCTCTCTTCTCTAACAAATCTAAGAAGAATTGCTGATTTTTTAGTTTGTTCAGATTTCTACTTATTGCTAGGGCAGAGTGGTTACTTCTAAGCTCCTTATATTTACAGACTGGAGCCCTCTTTCTTATTTCATTTTTTTTCTTTCTTCTTTGTTCTTTATGTTTCTAGGAATTATAAATAATGCCTTTGACCACAGAGCTTTCCTAATTATGGTCACCTTTTCCCAAGCTTTTTACAGAGATGACAGCCCACTTCACTCCCCAAATGATGGAAACACTTGGGAATTGAGGCCGCAGCTCTCAACTCCACAGACCAGTGGCTGACACATGGTGCTTCTTGTAAACAGATGGATCTTTCATTAGAAATTAGTGTAAGGGGCTAGGTGCGGTGGCTCATGCCTGTAATCCCAGCACTTCGGGAGGCCAAGCTGGGGGATGGCTTGAGGTCAGGAATTCAAGCCCAGCCTTGGCAACACAATGAGATCCTGTCTCTTAAAAAAAAAAAAAAAAAAGGAAAAGAGAAAAAAAGAAATTAGTGTAGCAAACAAAGGATAATAATCCTCTACTTTCAAGTAAAGTAAAATCTCTCTTCCCTTTCAGTTTCCTATTTCAAGGGTGTGTCTGTGTGTATGTTCCGGCAATTTTCTTAACTTTTTTAACTTTGAGAATTCCATCCTAGTGTGTCTAAGCGGGGCCCTCTTTTCATTAACTTTGCTGGGAAGTCAGAACATGCTCTCAGTTTCCAGCTGAGTTCTTTCTTTACAGCAGGAAACTTTTCCCCTCCCATTTCTTTGAATACTGCTTTCCCTATGTCTGTTTTGTTCTCTCCAGAATTCCGATTATTCCCAGGTTATATCCCCCGTGTCTGACCGCCTGCCTCTTTCTTTTCGTCTTTTTATCATTTTGCCCTTGGTCATGTTAATTTTATTTTCTCCGTGTCTTGTCTGCTATTTACAGCCTCCATCATGGTTTCCCACCAGAGCTATTGTGGTTTCTGTCTCCTTGCTACACTTCCTGCTCTCAGATGTCTCCCTCTTTATTAGGATCTTTTCTAGTTTCTAGATCTTTTCCAGCACCCCATGGAATCTTATTGAGAAATTGAATTAAATATTCAGATTTAAAATAATAATAATAATAATAATCCTCTACTTTCAATAAATGAACTGTAAACTACCTGTTATGTTGCATTAGGTTCAAGATGGCAGAATTTCTATTACTCAGCCAGATACATTCTGATTACAGCAGTTGACATTTCAGAGTGAAATGACTCCTGATAGAACCAGTTGTTTGGCCACTTATGCTGTTTCTTACAGAGAATTGTCCTGTGAAAGGAATCCATTGTGTTTTAGAAGGTCAGAAAGCTATCTGATAGAGCCATGATTTTCTTTCCTTTTCTTTCCTCCCTCCCTCCCTCCTTCCCTCCCTTCCTTCCTCCCTCCCTCCTTTTTCTCTCTTTTTCTTTCGTTCTTTCATTCTTTCTCCTTCCTTCCTTCCTTCCTCCCTTCTTTTCCTCTTTCTTTCCTTCCTTCCTTTTTTCTTTCTTTTTTGTAAAGCTCCCAGGTGATTTTTTTTTTTTTTTTTTGAGACGGAGTCTTCACTCTGTCGCCCAGGCTGGAGTGCAGTGGCGCGATCTCAGCTCACTGCAAGCTCTGCCTCCCAGGTTCACGCCATTCTCCGGCCTCAGCCTCCGGAGTAGCTGGGACTACAGGCACCCGCCACCACGCCCGGCTAATTTTTTTTGTATTTTTTAGTAGAGACGGGGTGTCACCGTGTTAGCCAGGATGGGCTCGATCTCCTGAGCTCGTGATCTGCCCACCTCGGCCTCCCAAAGTGCTGGGATTACAGGCGTGAGCCATCACTCCTGGCCTCTCCCAGGTGATTCTAATTTGCAGCCAGAGTTCAGAACTGTGGCTGCAGAGGAAGGAGATTTTGGCATTAGGAAGAAAGTTGCCCTGTGAACTCTTCCAATCTTTTAGGATGTTAGGGAGATGAAGAATGTACTGAGAAGACTTGCTCCTAGAAACATAGAGAAACACTTTCCCCTTCCCAATACCATATAATCTGTAGGACCTAGCCTACAGTTTTAAAAAAGAAACTTGTTTCCTTAATATTTATTTTGTGCAAATAAGTGTTTAAATTGTAAAAATTCAGGCAACATAGAAATATATAGGCCAAAAAGAGAAATTTTCTGTTTTATTTGTCTTCTTACCACCCCCAAATCTGTTCTTTCTTTCTTTCTTAATTAATTTTTTGTTTTTGTTTTTTTTGAGACAGGGTCTTGCTCTGTCGCCCAGGCTCCAGGGCAGTGGCATGATCATGGCTCACTGTAGCTTTGAACTTCTGGGCTCAAGTAATCCACCCACCTCGACCTCCCAAAGTGCTGGTATTACAAGTGTGAGCCTGGCCCGTGAAGTGTTTTTTGAATGCTTACTAGGTACCAGGCACTGGATGCTGGGTGCTGGGATATAACAGCTCACAGGACAACACAGTCCCTTTTCTCACAGTAGAGAAAAATAAACAAATATTTAAAGCAACTTCACATAGTTTTAGGTGCTAGGAGAAAACAACACAGTGATGTGGACAAAGGGACACTGGGAAGTAGATGGTATTACTTTAGATGAGGTTATCAGAGGTGGGCTCTTGAAAAGGTGCTGAAGTCCTGGGTGGATGGGGCCTCTCAGGCAGAGGGACCGGTAAGTGCAAAGGTCCTCGGCTCTCTGGAACTACAGAAGGAGATCACTCTTGTGGCGGTGACCAGGAAGGGGAGGGATAGGGATGAGGTTGGAATGGGCAGGGTCCTGATGTGTAGGCCTTTGAGACCGTGAATAGAAATTTGAGTTGGATAGCACAGGGATAGTCATGGGCTGATACATATGTTATAAAAACCAATCACTCTTTTTGGAGAATCAATTGTAGGGGTAAGAGTAGAATAAGGGAGATCAGGTAGGAGACTGTGCAGTGGTTCAGTGAGCTATGAGGGTGGCTCAGACCAGGGGTACAACTCTTACTGATTTGGAAGAACGACAGTTTTTAAAAGAATTATTGTTTTTCAAATTAAAGTAATACATGCTAATTTAAATAAACTCAAACAATATAAAATAACATAGAGTAAAATGTGAACCTGACCATGGGAAAGTTCGTCTCCTCTTGTTCTCATCTGGACTCAACCTCTACTTTTTTCCCCCAAGGCAGCCTCTGTCCTCTGTGAACACCATAGGGTGTGTCACTGGTACTTTCCTCAGTGCCTTCATAATCAATCCTTGAAGACAAATATATGTCCACGCATATTTATTGTTTGTTATTTTATTTTATTTATTTATTTAGAGACAGAGTCTTGCTCTGTTACCCAGGCTGGAGTGCAGTGGCCCTATCTCGGCTCACTGCAACCTCTGCCTCCAGGTTTCAAGCAATTCTCCTGTCTCAGCCTCCCAGGTAGCTGGGATTACAGGCACCTGCCACCATGCCTGGCTAATTTTTGTATTTTTAGTAGAGATGAGCTTTCACCGTGTTGTCCAGGCTGGTATCGAACTCCTGGCCTCAAGTGATTTGGCCTCCCAAAGTGCTGGGATTACAGGCGTGAGCCACTGCGCCCAGCCTGTTTTTTATTTTTATTAAAAAATATTTTTAAGTGATATGTAATGTTTTACATATTCATGAGGCACATGTGATATTTTGTTGCATCATAGAATGTATAATGATCATTTCAGGGTATTGCGGTATCCATCACCTTGAATAGTTATCATTTCTATGTGTTGGAAACATTTCAAGTTCTCTCTTTTAGCTACTTGGAATTATATAATACATTGTATAGTCACCCTGCTCTGCTATCAGACATTAGAACTTTCTATCTAACTGTATGTGTATACCTGTTGACCAATCTGTCTTCACCCCCCTCCCACCCACATACCCTTTCCAGCCTCTGGTATCTATCATTCCACTCTCTACCTCAATGACATCAACGTTTATAGCTCTTACCTGAGTGAGAACGTGATATTTACCTTTCTGTGCCTGCCTTATTTCACTTAACATAATGACCTCCAGTTCCACCCATGTTTCTGCAAATAACATGATTTTATTCTTTTTTATGGTCAGATAGTATTCCATTGTGTACATATACCACATTTTCTTTATTCATTTGTCTGTTGATGGACACTTGGGTTGATTTCATATTGTGAATAGTGCTGCGATAAACATGGGAGTGCAGGTATCCTTTTGATTTCCTTTGGATAACTATCCAGTAGTGGGGCTGCTGGATCATATGGTAGCTGTGCTTTAAGGTTTTTGAGAAACCTCCATACTGTTTTCCATAGCGGCCATACTAATTTACAATCCTGCCAACGTGTATAAAAGTTCCCTTTTTTCCACATCCTCACCAGCATCTATTTGTTTGTTTTCTGTTTTTTTAATAGTAGCCATTCTAATTGGGGTAAGATGATATCTCATTGTGGTTTTGATTTGCATTTCACTGATGATTAGTGATGGGTTTTTGTTTTGTTTTGTTTTTGCTTTTACAGAAAGTCTTGCTTTGTCATCCAGAGTGCAGTAGTATGATCATACCTCACTATAACCTTGAATTCCTGGGCTCAAGCAACCTTTCCATCTCAGCCTTCTGAGTAGCTGGGATTACAGGGTTGCGCCACAATGCCTGATTAATTTTAATTTATTGTAGAGATGGAGTCTTGCTATGTGACCAGATTGGTCTTGAACTGGTCTCAGGTGATCCTCTTGCCTTAGCCCCCTGAAGTACTAGGATTACAGCAGTGTGCATGGCCCACTGCTCTGATGTTTATTATGTCTTTCCTTCTACTAATTTTGGGTTTCATTTGTTCTTGCTTTTCCAGTTCCTTGAAGTGCATCATTAGGTTATTTAAAACCTTTCTACTTTTTAATGTAAGTGTTTATTGCTATAAACTTCCCTCTTAGCACTGCTTTTGTTGAATTCCAAAGGTTTTGGTATGCTGTGTTTCCATTTTCATTTGTTTCAAAAACTTTTTAATTTTCTCCTTAATTTCTTCCTTGACCCTTTGCTCATTCAGGAGCATTTTGTTTAATTTCCATGTATTTATATAGTTTCCAAAGTTCCTCTTGTTATTGTTAAATAATTTCTATTTTATTCCACTGTGGTCTGAGACGATACTAGATATTTGAAAAATTTGTTGAGACTTACTTTGTGTTCTAAAATATGGTTTATCCTGGAAAATATTCCATGTGCTGATAAGAAAAATGTGTATTCTGTAGCTGGTGGATGAAATGTCTGTTATATAAATGTCTGTGAGGTCCATTTGGTCTAATGTTAAGCTTAAATCCAATGTTTCTTCATTAATTTTCTGTCTAGATTATTTGTCTAATACTGAGAGTGGGGTGTTGAATTCTCCAACTAATACTGTATTGGAGTCTATCTCCCTTTCTTTTAAAATCTAATAATATTTGATTTATGTATTTGGGTGCTCCTGTGTTGGATGCATATATATTTAGAATTGTTACATGCTCTTGCAGTTGATCCCTTTATCATTATATAATGACTTTCTTTGTCTCTTTTTACTGTTTTCACTTAAAATATATTTTATCAGCCATAAACATAGCTACTCCTGCTTACTTTTGGTTTCCATTTACATGGAATATCTTTTTTCCATCCCTCTACTTTCAGTCTATGTGTATCATCTCAACTGTGACATGAGTTTCTTTAGGCAGCATATAGTTGGGTCATGTTTTTAAAATACATTCAGCCATTCTGTATCTTTTAAGTAGAAAGTTTAATCTGTTACACTCAAGGTTATTATTGATATGTGAGGGCTTATTCTTGTCATTTTATTAATTAAGTTCTGGTTGTTTTGTATATCCTTTGTTCCTTTCTTATTGTTTATCATTGTGGTTTGGTGGTATTCTGTAGTGGTAACATTTGAGTCTTTTCTCTTCCTTGTTTGTGTGCTTGCTTGACCAGTGGTATTTACATTTTCATGATTTTCATATTATTCTTTCACTTTTTGGTATGGGACTATCTTAAGCAGTTCTATAGGGAAAGTCTAGGGGTGATGAATTCCCTCAGCTTTTGCTTGTCCAGGAAAGACTTTATTCCTCCTTCATTTATGAAGAATATCTTTGCCAGGTATGGTATCTCTGGTTGACATTTTGTTTTGTTTTGTTTTTGTTTTTGTTTTTGTTCAAGACAAGGTCTGACTCTCTCACCCAGGCTGGAGTGCAGTGGTGCCATCTCGGCCCACTGCAACCGTGGCCTTGCTGGGCCCAAGCCATCCCCCCATCTCAGCCTCTTGAGTAGCTGGGACTACAGGCATGTGCCACCAGGCCTGGCTAATTTTTGCATGTTTTTGTAGAGATGGGGTCTCCCCATGTTGCCCAGGCTGGTCTCAAACTTGTGAACTCAAGTAGTTCACCCACCTTGGCCTCCCAAAGTGCTTGGATTACAGGTGCAAGCCACCGCACTTGGCCTGCTGGCAGTTTTTTTCTTTCAGCACTTTGACTGTATCGTCCTGTTCTCTCCTTGCTTGTAAGGTTTCTGCTGAGAAATCTGCCATTAGTCTGATGGGGGTTCCTTTGTAAGTGCTAGACACTTTTCTCTTGCTGTTTTTAGAATTCTCTCTTTGTCTTTGACTTTTGGCTGTTTGACTATAGTGTGCCATGGAGAACACCTTCTTGAATTGTATCTATTTGGGGATCTCTGGGCTTCCTGAATCTGGATGTTTAAATCTTTTGCTAGATTTGGGAAGTTTTCATGTATTATTTTGTTAAATAGGTTTTCTAATGTTTTCATTACCCCTTCACCTTCTGGGGACATTGAAAATATGAACATTTTGTCACTTTATTGGTGTCCTATATATCACATGGACTTCGCTCATTTTTTAAAAGTATTTTTTCTTTATTTTTGTCTGACTGGGTTATTTCAAAAGACCTGCCTGCAAGTTCTAAGTTTCTTTCTTCTGCTTGATCTAGTCTATTGTTGAAGCTTTTGAATGTATTCTGTGTTTCATTCAATGAGTTCTTCAGTTCAAGAATTTTTGGTTGTTTTTTATGATGTCTATATCTTTAGTAAACTTCTCATTTGTATCTTGCATTCTTTTTCTGATTTCTTTGTATTGTTTTTCAGTATTCTCTTATATTTCACTGAGCTTCTTAATGTCAATATTTTGAATTCTTTTTCTGAGATTTCATAAATTTCTTTTTGATTGGGATTTGTTACTGGAGAATTATTGTGTTCCTTTGGAGGTGTCATATTTGTTTGCTTTTTCGTGTTTCTTGTGTCCTTACATGGGTATCTGTGCATCTGTTGTAAAAGTTGCTTTTTCTAGTCTTTGAATTTGCTTTCATAGGGGAGACTTTTTCCTGAAGATGTATCTGTGGTTGTTTGGGTAGGGCACTTTGATTCTTGGTGCATGCGCTGGAGTAGTCTCTGTATGATTTCTTCGGCTGTAAACAGTGTCAGTGTTGCCTGTGATTTTCTTGGTGGCTCATGGTGTGATTATTAGTGGAGGCTATGTTGAAGTTTGGCTGTGGGCTAGGCCAGTAGGTGGGCTAGGCCAGTAGGTGGGCCAGTCTTTAGGCCCCAGTGGTGACAGCAGTGGGCTGGGCGTGCCTGTTCTTGCACCCCAGCGTTGCTTATGCCGGCACAGGTATTAGTGTGTCCAATCAGGCCAATTCTTGGGCCTCCAGGTGGCTTGCTTGGGTGGCGGGAATAGCAGCAATGGGCTAGGTGGGTGGGCAGGTTCTTGAGCCCCTTAGCAGCAGGCCTGGTGTGGATGATGGCAATTGCAGTGGTGGGATAACTCTTAGGGATCCAAGTGGTCTGCACTGGTGTTGGTGGTGGCTGCAATGGTCTGGGAAGGCCAGTCCCTAGGCCTATAGGTGGTATATGTGGGTGGGTGCCAGCTCTAGTGGTAATGGGAGATTGGGTGGGCCTGACCAGAGACTATGGGAGGAATGCTTAGGTGTCAGTGGTGGTGGACTGGGCTGGGCAACTTCCACACCCTGGGATGGAATACTCAGGTACTGGGCTGAGGGTTAGAGCTGGGCTGGGTAGACCTGCCCTCAGGCCCCCTGGTGATATGTGCAGGTGCTGGCTGTGATAGACAGGGGTGGGGTGATCCCCAGGCTGCCAGTGGAATGCTCAGGTAGGGACAGCAGCAATTGCACTGTGGCCCTGCTACTGGGGAGGCCAGGGTTGCTTTCAGTGAGAGCAGCTGGGGCACCGTAGCAGTTCACAGCGCTGCCATTGCAGGCAGTGGAATTTGTCCTCAGGGCATGTGAAAATGCCTGGCTGCCTCTGTGCTGGGGGTGCAGTTGGGTGGTTGTTGTCAGTGGCTCCTGCCTAGCCCCAGTGTGGAGGGGGCTGGGCTCTTAAAATGGTGCCATGCTGCTGCTGCTTAGGGCTTGGTAGTGTGTGGAACACAGCATGAGCTCCCTCTCTGCAGCAGTGCTGCCGTTCAGTTTCCAGGCAGCTCCCTACCTTAGTCTCAGGGCCCTTGGGGTTGAAGGTTGAGGGGCTCTCCTACAGCTAAGAGTCTGTGGTGGAAATGTAGATTGCTGGGGGTCTCTCACTTACCCTTTCCCCACTTCAAGGGGCCTCTCCAGGATCCCAGCCAATCCTGGATGAGCAGGCTGTTTTGCTTCCCTCTCCTTCCTTGCTTTTGGTGTTTCCCATTCCTCTGTTGAATTCCAGTGCTCTCTCTTAGATGATCTGTTTGAAGTGTGATTATCTACTTGCTATTTTGGTTCCTTTTTATGGAAGAGGCGAGTACCATATGCATGCAGTCAGCCTTCTTGAAGCCCCCCAGCCTATTGTTTGTTTTTTAAAATATAAATGTGACCATACTCTGGAAATGTCTCTGCAGTTTGCTCTTGCTCACTTAATGATCTATCTCAAGCATCTTTGTCAGTCCCTATAGAGTTGCCTTGGTGTTTATCTCAGCTCGTACTTTTCCATGGTATGATGAACCATAGATATCTGATGGCCATTTAGGCTGTTTCTTTTTTTCCTACTACAATGTTGCATTTAATGTTTCCTGCATGTATCTTTGATAGGTACCTAGAAATGGAGTTGTTGGTTTTAATGGACATGCACACTTTTTTGTGTGTGTGTTTTGTGTGTGTGTGTATTTTTGAGACAGAGTCTTACTCTCTCACCCAGGCTGGAGTGCAATGGCACGATCTTGGCTCACTGCAACCTCTGCCTCCTGGGTTGAAGTGATTCTTCTGCCTCAGACTCCTGAGTAGATGGGATTACAGGCATGCACCACCATACCCGGCTGATTTTTGTATTTTCAGTAGAGGTGGGGTTTCTCCATGTTGGCCAGGCTGGTCTCAAACTCCTGACCTCAAGTGATCCCCCCACCTTGGCCTCCCAAAGTGCTTGGATTACAGGCATGAACCATTGTGCCCAGCTCATTTTGGTTTTTTTTTTTTAGAGGCATGGTCTTGCTCTGTCGCCCAAGCTGGAGTGCAGTGGTGCAATCATAGTTCACTGTAGTCTCGACTTCCTGGGCCCAAGCTGTCCTCTCACTTTGGTCTCCCAAAGCACTGGGAATACAGGCATGAGCCACCAGACCTGGCTACATTTCGTTTTGATACATGCTGCCAATTTTTGCTCAGGAAGGGCTATTCCAACTAACCTCTCACCAGCATAGCACCCATTTTCTCATACTCTTGCCAACAGCAGACATTATCTTACTCCCTTCCCCATCTGATGAACTAAAAATATTTCTCTTTGTTTTATTTTACATTTCTGTGATTACTACTAAGGTCGTTCATATGTTTATTGGCTATCTGTATTTCTACCATGAATTGTCATTGTTTATTTTTCTGTTGGGATATTTATTGTTCTTCTGATTTCTAGGAGCTCTTGTATGGTATTATATTAACCTCTTGTCTATATAGACATTGAAAGATCTTTTTTCCCAGTCTGCTTGTCTTTTTTCCCTGTTTATGACATCTTTAAACTTGTAATTTTATATTTAGTATGAAAAATCTCTTTGCCTTCTAGGTTCTTTGTCTCGTTTGGGAAGGTATTTTTCAACTCAACATTATTATTTATTTTACTTTAATTTTTTTAGAGATAGGATCTCACTCTGTCCCCCAGGCTGGAGTGCAGTGGCCTCATTCACTGCAGCTTTGAACTCCAGGGCTCAAACGATCCTCCTGCCTCGGCCTTCCAAAGTTCTGGGATTACAGGCATGAGCCACTGTGCCCAGCCCAACTCAACATTATTAACAAGGATTATGAGGTGGATATTTGGAGGGTGGATTGTTATAATTTATTGAACCTTTTGGCTGAGAAGTTTTACACAATTTAACAATTACCAAAGAATGTGAAGAAGATGAGGAAGGACACCACTTTATTGAGGGCTGGATCATAGTCTGGACACACTGTGGACTTCCTCTCTGTAGCCACGTGCTAATTTCCATTTTACAGATAAGGAAATAGGTGACTTGCGGCCAGGCACGGAGGCTCACGCATGTAATCCCTGCACTTTGGGAGGCCGAAGCGGGCGGATCACGATGTCAACAGATCAAGACCATCCTGGCCAACATGGTGAAACCCCGTCTCTACTAAAAATACAAAACTTAGCTGGGTGTGGTGGTGCGCGCCTGTAGTCCCAGCTACTCCGGAGGTTGAGGCAGGAGAATCACTTGAACCCGGGAGGCGGAGGTTGCAGCGAGCCGAGATCACGCCACTATACTCCAGCCTAGCGACTGAGCGAGACTCCGTCTCAAAAAAAAAAAAAAAAATGGTGACTTGTCCTAAGTCACACAATTAGGTTGTGTGAAACACAGTCCTTGGGACAAAGCAGGGGATGAATTGATATTTATTGGATGAGCAAGTGAGCTGGAATTGGACCCTCAGCGTCTGACTCAACCCAAGCTCCTGTTCCTACACCCATGGCTGCCCCTTGCTCTCCCGGCACATGGCCTCCTGAGTTTAGCATATTTTTAGCATCAGAGATAGACTGTTATAAAATAGACAATTCTGTATTTGAATTAGTTTTCGCTTTCCATATTATGTAAAGTCAAAAAAATCCGGCTAATTTTCAGGGGACTAAGATGAAGCTTAGGAACAAATTGACTTTTTAGTTTTAGGCCTGAATTTTTGCACAAAACAACAAAAACCACAACAGGCAGAGGAGGCAGCAGGAAGGATCCAGAGTTTTCACTGTAATGCTATTGAGCACCACCTCTTACATGGACGTTCACCTGTGGGGAAACACAGGGACAGCTGCCGTCTGCAGCAGCTCTTTGATCCCCAGGATTTTTGACATATATAGAATCCCAGGTGGGTGGGTAGGGCTGACTCTTACAAGTTGTTTGAGTCTGTTTTGTTTTTTGGTTTCCTATCTCTTTCAGAACATGCTTCTAGAACTTTCATCTATTATGAAAAAATAATGCATCAGGAGCAGCTGGTACCTGCAGGAGGAGAGTTGTGCCTTTGTCAGCTCAAACTGCAGGAAGCGCTTTGGGACCCACACCCTCTACAGACACCCACCAGGCGAAGGGCCCTGTTCAGGGTGCTCCCAGCCTGGGCTCACTTCCACAGGAGACCCTTCCCTTATGGGGGCTGGGGACAGGTTCTCACCCTGCCTGGGCACACTGCTTGAGGGAGGTCTGATGCTCGGGCAGGGAGGAGCTGTACACCGTCAGAGGAGATCTAGGGACAAGAGCGGCTCTGCCTCGAGGAGGAGGATTGGTATATGTCACCTCTTCCCCAGTCCCAGCACAGCCTAGTGGGATATTTTGCAAGACAGTACCCCAGCTCTGCAGTGGCAGCAACAGTAGCAGTTGGCCCCTTAAACATGGGTCCAGAGCAGGACTGGAGCTTTGTGCTCAGCCTGAGGTCAGATGTGCTTCCTGTCTATAAAGGAGAGGTTGACAAGAAACTTTTCAGGCTTTTCCTCTCACCAGTTCATTTCTTGAGGATGAACCAGTTGGATTTTTAATTCATCAATGGCATGGAAATAAAATATTGATTAAAACACTGGCAAACACTCGCATGCCTTTTTTGTATCCCTCTGGGATGATTCATGAGTAGTGGTGATGCCATGATTGTGCCCCTGCAGGAGCTTCCTGGGAGTGGTAGAAGCCAGCACCTCTTCCTCACCCTGCCCGCCCTCCGAGTGGTCCTGAGTCATCCGGGAGAGTGCTCTGTGATGTGCACTGACTGGCCAACCCATGAGGCTGCTCCGCGGGTTGCTACTTGGCCGATCTTGGCTCACTGCAACCTCCGCCTCCTGGGTTCAAGCCATTCTCCTGCCTCAGCCTCCCAAGTAGCGGGGATTACAGGTGCCCACCACCAAGCCCGGCTAATTTTTGTGTTTTTGTATTTTTAGCCTTGTGGTAGCGAGGCTGGTCTTGAACTCCTGACCTCGGGTGATCCGCCCATCTCGGCTTCCCAAAGTGCTGGGATTACAGGCGTGAGCCACTGCGCCCAACCCTGAGTTTTTAGAGCCATAAAGGTGGACTCAATTCCCATGGAAAGAGCCTCTTAGCTTCCCCGTCCTCCACCCCATGGCCAGAGTGGCCCCCAACCCTGGCCACACACTTGATAATAAAGGCTTCAGGTTATAAGGAGAATCAATTTGGTTGAAAGTTATAAGGCTCGGCATCATCTATGTCCTATGAGATAAAAGCCACAGGAAATTCAGGCACTGGCCCCTGCCTCTGACCTCATTCCCCGCTTCTCACTTGTAGCCCAGCTGTGGCAGCTCTGCCGCTCCTACCTGCTGTTGCCCACCCAGCAGTCTGCTGCTGGACAGTGTCCACCTATCCTGTGGCTGCCTTTTGGGGACTCATTATTTTTATGGAGGCAGTTCCAACATATCTTCTCGGCCAACCCCATTCACTCACCATGCCTTTCTTTGTGGCAGCCCTGTAATTATAGTAACGGTGGGGGGGTAGATGATAGGGTTTTTGTTTTTGTTTTTGTTTTTTTTAAAAGACAGGTCTCGCTCTGTTGCCCAGGCTAGAGTGCAGTGGTGTGATCTTGGCTCACTGCAACCTCTGCCTCCCGGGTTCAAGCAATTCTCCTACCTCAGCCTTCCCACTAACTGGCACTATAGAGGTGCACCACCACTCCCAGCTAATTAAAAACAATTTTTTTTTTTTGTAAAAATGAGGACTTGCTATGTTGCCCAGGCTAGTCTGGAACTCCTGGCTGCAAGTGATCCTCCTGCCTCAGCGCCCCCATAGCACTTACATAGATTACAGGTGTGAGCTACCATGACCGGCCCCCAAAATGTGCCTTTTTAAGGGGCATACTATATTCCACGTGCTCACATTATCTATACCTTGTACAACTTGTCAAGTTGTTATTGTTCATTTTCATCTTATAGATCAGACAAGGCTCAAAGAGATTTTCTCCACAGTTAAAGATTACACGGCTGAAGTGCCTGCTGGAATTCAAATCCATATCCAGCTGCTCTGAGGCCCACAGTCCTTTCAGAAATCCTTGTTCTCCTTTCTGTAAAAGTCAGCAGCCCCTGGGCAATGATTTATTTGTACATCTCTCTGCCCAACTAGCCTGTGAAAGCTGTAAGGGTAAGGTATTTGACATCTTGGATGCTTAGCATGTAACACAGTGTTGGTTGAATAAATATATATTTATGTATAAACACCAAAGGCAATACCTTACCCATTGCTTCCAATTTTCCAGTCTTTATTTCTTATTCACTTTCTGTCATGTTGTGTCAATAAGTTTGTCAATAGGTTTCAGAGGCCTCTATGGCAACTTTTTTTGTAATTTCAATTTCTTTCACTCTGAAAAGTCTTTACAGGGTTGTCAAAAACACAGCACAAATGGAGGTTTTAAAAAACAAGTTTGAGGCTGGGTGTGGTGGCTCACGCCTGTAATCCCAGAACTTTGGGAGGCCGAGGTGTGGGGATCATGAGGCCAAGAGAGCGAGACCATCCTGGCCAACATGGCGAAACCACGTCTCTACTAAAAATACAAAAATTAGCTGGGTGTGGTGGTGTGCGCCTGTAGTCCCAGCTACTTGGGAGGCTGAGGCAGGACAATCGCATGAACTTGGGAGACGGAAGTTGCAGTGAGCCAAGATTGGACCACTGCACTCCAGCCTGGCAACAGAGCACGTCTCAAAACAACACAACAACAAAAACAAGTTTGAGCTGGGCCTGGTGGCCCACCTGTAGTCCCAGCTACTTGGGAGGCCGAGGTGAGAGGATTCTTGCGGCCAGGAGTTCACAGCTGCGGCGCACTATGATGATGCCTGTGAATAGCCATTGCACTCCAGCCTGGGCAACATAGCAAGGCCTTGTCTCTACAAAGAAGAAAAAACAAAGTCTGAAGGGCCCAGTGTAAAATGTAATGTTTCCAGTGACTGCTAGCATGTCTCTGAAGGTTTCCATTCACTGCTTCGGGATGAAGGGCACTGTCTCAGGGATGCACTTATCTTCAAGAAGAAAGAGTAAGAACTAGCCATGGAGAATCAGCAATGCCTCTTTGTGGCTAAGCAGGCCAGTGGCAGATGTGTGTCAGGATCTGCAGGAACCAGGGACGGGTGTGGAGACAGAAGGCGTCATGCTCTTGAGTGAAATGAAAGACACTTGCGTAATGGGATGTGTGGCTTTCTCCATCTCTTTGGGCCTTGATTTTTTGACACCAGGAAGTATTGTGTTCACTTGTACCACGAAGGCATAGGTGCTCAGTGAGGAGAATTGGAAACCCATTTCTGCTCACGGCACCTTCACCAGCTGCTGTTAAACATTAAGTACAATCTTGCTAATGCATCCCAAGTGGTGGGGCAGAGTTGGGTGAGGTGGTGGGTTGGAGAAGAGTGAAAGACTCTAAAATGATTTCAAAGAACAGCTCAGTTATTTCCAAATACATACAACAAAACTGCTGGCAGGGCCTGGTGTAGAAGGAACCTGTCCTCACTGCCCCAGAGGCAGATACAAATTTCCCATAAGAAGCACATGTAAAGTAGGAAAGAAAATGGCTGCTGTCCACCTGGGGCTGGACAGTGCTTAAAAGCTCTTTTGTAGCCGCGATTCCCAACCTTTTTGGCACCAGGGACTGGTATCGTGGAAGACAAATTTTCCACGGACCAGAGGCAGCGGGGGTGGGGGGATGTTTTCGGGATGACACCGTTCCACCTCAGATCATCAGGCATTAGAGTCTCATAAGGAGCTGCAACCCAGATCCCGCACATGCACCGTTCACAGTAGGGTTCGCGCTCCTATGGGAATCCAGTGCCACCGCTGATGGGGCAGGAGGTGGAGCTCAGGCAGTAATGTTCACTCCCCAGCTGCTCACCTCTTGCTGTGCGGCCTGTTCCTAACAGGTCATGGACCGGAACCAGTCTGCGGCCCAGGGGTCGGGGACGCCTGTTTTGCAGGACGCAACAGCTGGTGAGGTTTATTTTCCTTCAATGCATGACCATTATTTGTATCACAAGAGCAGATGTCAGGGTTGAAGGTGCACATGACCATCAGTTCTAAATTACCAGGTTTTCCCACAGAAAATTTTGGGACTCTGACCCACCTGTTTTTCTCAGAGTGGATTAACTTCACATCTTCAGGCGTAGGTAATCCGCCTCTTGTACCGAAAATGTTATGACTGCGACGTTGTCACAGCAGCACACATTTGCAAAACCCATGACCTGCTCTCAGGAAGCCTTCCTTGACTCCATAGGTGCCCATGGAGACTCGCCCGAGGGAGCAGAACTTGGCAGTTTTTAATTTCCGTTTTCCCATCTGGCGGTCGCATGCACTCCTTGAAGCGTGAATCTCGGCAGCACAGCCCTGCCCTGCCCGGATACCATGCGCATGCACTGGTTACAGCCTCGCTGACAGCTCAGACCCCCCTGCTCTGCTCTAGTGGCTTTCTCTCACCTCCGAGCTCCAGTCCAGTGTTCGCTCATGGTCACTCGACCTGCCCACCATTTGATATCTTGTTTTCTCTTTACATCAAAATCGAAGACATAACTATCAAATACACTTTTAGAATACAACTTTTAAACTGTACAGTCATGCATGGCATAACCATGTTTTGGTCAATGATGGGACGAATATATGACAGCGGTTCCATAAGATTGTAAACCCTATTTTTACTGCAACTTTTCTATGTTAAGATACACAACTACTTACCCTGGTGTTACAATTGCCTACCATATCCAGTACAGTTACATGCTGCACAAGTTTGCAATCTAGGAACATCTAGTCTAGGTGTGTCATAGGCTTTCTCATCTAGGTTGGTGTGGCACACCCTGATGTTCTCACAATAGGAAATTGCGTAAGGATGCATTTCTCACAACGTACCCCCTTCACTAACCAATGCATGACTGTATGGATTCCTCAACCACAATTCTAAACATCTTTCCTTGCAACTCACTGCATCTTGGTGTTGGCTTAATGTTCTTTCTCATTTACTTTCATTTAGTTTTTAAAAAATTCAGCCTATTTTGGATATAATTGCAGATTCACATGCAGTTGCAAGAAATGATACCCATCACCCAGTTTTCTCCCGTGGTAACATTCTGCATAGCGATAGCACAATATCAAAACCGAGAAATTGGGTTTAAAGCCTTTTATCTACTCTCACAGGCACTAGGGATTTTTAAAATTCAGAGTTTAGGAATCACATTAATATTATCCAATTTTAAAGATTCCTAATCAGATTAATCAGGTAGCAAGTAAGGGTCCAAACTAGAGGAAGAGAAATGGCCTCTAGGAAAAAAGATTTCCTGAGGTTTCTCACTCTGTAATTTGGAACATAGGGATCAGAGGCAGAGAAAATCAGTTTACAATGCATAATGATATGTCTTTATTTCATCAACAGAAATGGTGTCTAGACAAAATTCAGTTAACACTAGCAATTCAATTGAGTGAAAACTTTTTTTGCACAATAGTGTATTTACAATGAGTAAATGAAGTTTCAATTCATTAGTTCATAGCAATGCTTTTTTCCCCCAAAAGGTAAAAATTCTTAGTTACAGAGAATAAGCATCAACAGCCTTTCATTTTTTACAATAAAAACCACGAGAAAAACCACAATCACTTAGAAAAAAATAAGGACAAGCCTAAGAACTAGTACAATAAAATGATGCATTGAATTAAATTACATTAATCGCATAGAATCTGTGTAAAAAGTATGTAGAAAAACACCTGATGTAACCTGTTACAGTCGTTGACCAGTTATGAGAGGTACAGAGGGTTATACAGGTAGATATGTGTGAAAACTGTCCGTATTGTTCAACCTGGGGAGGAAGAGAAGAGGGGCTGCAGCCCCTTGCATACACTGAGAAGACCCTGTTTTGAATATGGCCTCTGGAGTTTGTAAGGCATATATTAGAGGTGCACTTGCATCAGACTGGTTCTGGAACAAATTGTCAAATTGTCACAGGCTCTCTTGGCCTCACTAGCAAAGGTGGTGCTTGCCTTGAATGGCTCACTGTGTCTAACAAGCACCTGAAGCTCCCAAATGCATATGGAATCTTCCTGATCACTCACTAGAGGTGCCATGTCTTTATGTCAGAGCGTGAAACGGGCATCCCAGGATTTGCACACACAAAATACATTGTTAGGACTTAAGGGGAGGTCATAGTTCTGCCTCCAAACATGTTTTGGTAGAAGACTGAGCATCCATCTGTAGGAAAACCCCTCTTTGTCCAAGTCCCTTCACTCTTTCGCAACATATGCGTCTGATTATTCCCATGGGAGCACTTGGCACTGAATGTGAGTCTACCTGAAATGAATGGTCTTGGTGCACACTTCTGCTTCTAAGAAGGGCCAGTGTTTTATCTGAGGTCAATAAACTGGAATGAGAATGAAAGTCAGAGCTGTTTATCCATTGCTTGACAGCAAAATGCATACACCGTGTCACAACATTAAATCAAAGCTATGAAAGTTGGCCTCTGCAACCAAGTGGGTATTCTTCACAAAATGGCAGCATCGTTTTCATATTACATTTAAAATGCACTGATATTCATTTGATAGAAATATCATCTCCCAGGGTGGAGTGTAGGAAAATACTATAAACTTTTCTTTGCAAGTAATGTTTTTGCACCGTCAGTTGAATAATTTATGCTCAATCTGCCACAATGAGACTTTTCTATGTACAAATGCTATTTGCACACACTATTTGTGTACAGATATGTTCTGTTCTACAGCATCGGTTTTGGACGCTGGGGTCATGAGATGGCTCAGGCAGTACTATAAACATACACTTTCAACACACAATGCCTCGTGCACACAGATTTCCTGTATGAATACCAACTCCACACAGGGCATTGTATTGTGGACTGACTCACCAGAAATTGCACTTCCAACACAGTCTTCAGTTTGGGGAAGAAACACTAACTCATGATACAACGAACAGCTTTATTCTTAGAAAACAAAAACAAAAACAAAAAACACCTTGTTCTTTAGTCTATTTACAGTCATTTGAGGACCAAACTTGATTCTTGCTCCTTCTGGATCTGAGACTCCTCCTAAACTGTAAGCAATAGTGAAGCAGTTTGAAGTCATTTCTAAGACAGCTCCTAGTTTAAATGGGGCATAATGTAGAGAAGTAGGTAGCCAAATAGGGACTTGAGAAAGCTTTGCAGGCAGCTCTTCCTCATTTTGAGAGGATTATGCTACTCCACAGGATGTCAAGCAGCTTCACGGGACAGGAGTTTTTGGTGTCTTAACAGGCTTATCATTTTCAAACCTTTGTCTGTTCCTTCTTTTTCTTCTTCTTTGATGGCAATCATAAAATATTAAAAGAGAAAATGTGGGTTTAGGCCTCTTGACAACAGCATTAAACTTCACACTGTGCACACTTCACTTTAGCCAGTCCTCTCATGAGTCTTGTCGCTGGTCCTGGCTCCTTTTGAAGGAGTAGTGGCAGTTGGCATACTAATCACTAGACTTTTGTTCCCTTCCTTGGAAAAGCAATGTAAGGATTACATCCCGAATTATAGTGCATCTTAAAAGCAGCAAACCTTTAGAAAGACAGTTAATAAATTACTCGCACAACATTCAGTTGCAGACACACAGAGTCAGGTTTTCCACTGCAGCATCATCTCTGATGCCTGAGTCATTGCTGGGAACTCAGAAGATAAATAGCAGGATGGCCTCGTAACTTTGTCGGTTTTTTTTTTTTTAAAGTTTTTCTAACTGTTTTGTTCCAGAATCAGTATGTAATAAAGTTCGATTTTAATCAAGGCACCCCCAGGTAACGCAGAGAAACAAACACATACAGCAAATCACTCACCTGTCCAAAGCCTGACCAACTTGAAAAGAGGTTGCCTGGATACACAAGCAGGACAAAGGCAGATCCAAGGGGAGGACTGGATTTAGGTGGGATGTTCATTAGTCTCAGGGTCACTCACCTCCACTGGCTCTGCCCCAACAACCATTCCTACCCCAGCCATTTGGAGACCCAAGCAGGCATCCTCCTAAACAGCCCGTGGTTGGAGGGTCTCTTATTTTTGTAAGAAAAGAGCCTTAAGAACAACCAAATGTTACTGTACTGTGCAAACACTCTTCCTTGCTGTTCACTCACTTTTCTTTTTCCTAAAAGGCGTGGGGTTGACAGAGGGATCCCAGGGAAAAGAGACAGGCTAGGTTTTAAAATTCCACTTGAGGCCGTTTGGATTCTGGTCCCCAGCAAGTCCTCCCTTTGAATCAACCCAGAAATAATTTTGACAAGCACATAGTTCTGAATAGGAAAAGACACACACACATCACATGAACAACTGCACGAAGCTAGTCACTGTTCATGGTGGATTATGAATGAAATAACTTGTGAGAAATCTCTATGAAATTGGAAGATGGTTTTTAGAGCAGTGTTTTTAACCAGTTCCCATGGCAGAAGTTAGGTTGGGGGAAGAGGAAGAAAAGCAAGGCAGGGGTGGGTGGGAGGAAGGTGAGGTCTGAGTTAGGGTGGAGAGAAATAAAGAGGCCCCGCCCCTGCTAGAAATGGCTGCCAAACAGGTCTGGGCTACTGAACCACAGAAACCTGAGGAAATGGATGGAATGTGGTCAAGACTACCAGTTGCACATGAGTTGTTACCAGGGTAAACCTCATGCCAAGAAGCTGGGTTGGACCTGGTTATGATATGAGCAGAAAGTGTTCTTTTTTTAAAAGAAGAGGAGAGGTCACTTGGAAAGGCAACAATAGAGTTAAAAAGCAAAATACTGTCAGCTGACTCCACTGTAACACACGCCTGCGAAGTATCACGTGATTCACATTGAGTTTATATTCTCACTGTCACCAGTTTTCCACAAAGGCAAACCTCATGGTGAAGCACAGAACTGTCCTAGTAGGCCAAGAAATTCCAACAACCATAACAAAAACCAGCAGCTCCAACACAGAGCTTTATCAAGATCTGTTTCAGACACACACACACACACACACACACACACACACACACACACACACACACACAAACAAGAAAAAACAAAAACCCAGAGGCAGGTTTTAAAAGTGGAACTGTTTAAAAAGAAAAGCCTTTTTTTTTTTTTTTTTTTTTTTTTTATCCTACTGCATGAACTGACAAATTTCTGGCATTCATACATATTTAAACATTTAGTGCTAATATTTGTACAGAAAAAAGTTAATAATACTAAAACATATGTTACTATGATTTCACTTTTAGCCTACATCATATACTAATTTCCCCTTTTACATGCAGCTTTAATATTGTCCAAACAATGGCACAAATAAAGAAACAAAGTCAACCATCTATTCCCCACTGCCCACCACCCCATCCCCACATCAAACCGTTCAGGACTCTCTTCCCCAGCCGGGCTGGAGTGGCCCTCGGGCTGCTCAGTGAGACCCGGACCCAAGGCCACTGGAGCGAGGGAGCTGATTCCTCCTCCTCTGGGGCACACCTTCCTGTAAACGTGGCTGGGGCCAACACGGCCCCAGAGCCAAGGGAAGCTGCTCTCTCTGGGTTGCAAGCCAACCAGTTTTGCAGCAAGAAGAGAAAATTATCATCAGGTGAGGGTAGGGTATGTGTGTGATTCGGGAAGGGGACAGGGAGGGTTCCCGGTGATAGCTTGTCCAAAGCCTCAGAATGAAGTCTGCCTTCAGACAAGACACTGGCAGAAAAACCTCAGAAGAAAACTCCAAGCCTTTGGAGAAGGAAAGGAGAAAGAATGTGTCAGCCTGTGTCAGGGATGGATCGCAGATGCCAGGATGCCCTGCTCTCTCCCAATGGGGTGAAGGCAGGACCTTCGGGGCTGTGATTCAAATCCCCTCAGGCCAGATGTCCTGGGAGGCCAAGCCTGGGCAGGAAAGCCAGTGGCTGGTTGGCCCCGTCCTTCAGGGGAGCAGGTCCTACTGCACAACACTTCCAAGAGCAAGCCGAGGCCTCAGGACGTGTTGAAATGAATGGGACTTACTCCCTGGGTGAAAACTTTCTAACTTGATTTCTAGGAGCCAATGCCTGCTGAGTTCTGGTATAAAATCACGGATTCCTGTTTTTCTGATGTACTTTTGAGTGAGATGTCCAAACTCTCTCCCCACTTAGGAATCTGAACATCCAGCATCAACTCTGAACTCTCTATCTGCGTTTAAACTTTGCTTAGGGAAAGGTGGGGAGGAGGTGAAATATAAAAATATTCAAGCAGATTATTGTCTACACATCCTAGGATGAATTCATTATTTGGCAAGATTGTTTTTCCTACATAATTATCACCTGAGTGCTTTTTAATTAGCTAAAATGTTTTACTTTTTTAACTAAAAGCAAAGAATATACAGTATACTTGAGTTATACCGAAGTTACAACTTCATTTAAGAAAATAGGTTTGACCCAAAACTCAGTGCAAGTGGCAAAGTTGACCATTACTGTACAGTATCTGCAAGGAAAACAAAAACAAAAACAAAAACAAACAAAACCCCCCAAACAAACAAAAAACAAACCTACAATGCTCAAATGACACCACTTGGAGGTGCCAAAACCAAACCAAACGAAAAAGAAATCTGAAATAAAACCTTGGGAAAAAGCTTCCAACACTGAATTTTGTCCATAAATAAGTACGAATTGAAAATTGAACTGTGAAGCAAGAAAAATGACCATGTTAACAGTTACCAAACTAGTTCTAGCATCAGAGACAAAAGAAGAGGAATGTTGGAACCTGTTTCTAAATGAGAAATAAGTTTCCAGTTTTAGGATGAGAAAGTTGAGGCATGCAGGACTTTTGCATATGGATATATATATATATATATATATATTTTATATATATATTATATATAATATGTACAGTCTAGCTATAAAACTTTGATGTGTATAGAAGCTGTCTTCAATGAAAAAAATTGAACATTCAGAAGAAATTCCTGAGATAGGGTTTGTGACATGGGCCACTGAGAAAAAAAATCCGTGGTTGGGGCCTAGAGGTGTTGTAGTCTATCCCTGTGAAGACTGAAATTGAGCCACAGACAGACAGTGTCATCACTGCTGTCTTTCCTTGCCTGGGCAAGGGGTAGCACCATTGTGAAGGTAACTATCACTCCTGCTCGAGAAGAGGAGAGGATACTTCGGAACAGTATTGCTGCTAAGACCGCTGTAGTGTGCACCAAATGTGTTCTCGGTTTCTTCGGGACAGCAGATGAACAGTGCCACAGGCTGACTGAAGAACGCCTGGATGGGAGAGGTGTGCGGACTGGGAGGCAGAGCCGAGTCACTAGGTATAATCTTTCCTGGGCTGTTCGTCAGTTGTACACTTATCAGTCATTTCCTGGCAGAAGTCCACGGTCACTGTTTGGCTCCTGGGTTCAAGAGGAGGTCCTCTCTCTGAGAAGGTTCCCGGGTCAGTGCCTTCTAGTCTCCTCCCAGAGGTACAATTCTCGGAGGTGTTGCTGGGTGCCCAGGGGGGTCCGGGGGGAGCCGCGCCTGGCTCCAAGCAGCAGGGCACGTTTTCCCCCACTGCGCATTGGGAGGCCGCAATGTTCTGCTCAGCACCCAAGGGCGCAGGGTTAATACTGGAGGCCGTGGGCAAGTCCATGGGTCTGAGGACAGGGCAATACCGATGCAGGGCCTGGATCTGCTCGGGGCTCTGGATGTCTCGGCAAACTTCCTGGGAAAGGCAGGAGAAGTTGTCCAACAGTTCCCCCATGCATGCTTTCAGTTGATTCCTCTCTGACAACAGTTTCTCTTTCTCACACACCTGGACAGTAGAGAAAAAAAGAGAAGGGTTGATCAAGCCTGAACTGGAGGACAGAAGGCCTCGTTTCAGGTTTTCCAGCCTTTGTTTTGCATCCTCCATTATAATGTAACTCAAGAATGACTAGGTCAGGCTCTAGAAACTTAAAGATACATATTCAGGGGGCCCAGACACAGGCTTCTGCCACACCTTCCATCTGATGCCAACACCTTCCCCAGGACATCTCTTCATCCCTCTCCAAGGCCCGGGCAAACAACCGGCAAAATCGTCACGAATCAGAAAACTTCAGAGTCCATGTTTTGGTTTCCTGGAATTTGGGGTTTGTAGAGAGTTAAATGAAAAACTCTCAGTCCCAATCTTGTGACTGAAAATCTCCCCCAAATGTATCAGGTTGCCATTTTTGAAAGGCAAAAATCTACCATTCCAACCGTATGACATTTCGAAAAAAGCAAAACTATGGAAGCAGTAAAAAGATCTGTGGTTGTTAGGGGTAAAAGGGGTTGAACAGGTGGAGCACAGAGGATTTGGGGGCAGTGAAGCCACTCTGTATGACACTATACTGGTGGATCCATGTCATTATACATTTGTCCAAAACCATAGAACGTGCAACACCGAGAGTGAACTCTAATGCAAACTATGGACTTGGGTGATAATGATGTGTCAGTGTAGGTTCATTGACTAACACATGTACCACTTTGTGGGGGATGCTGACAGTGGGGGAGGCTGTGTGTGTGGGAACAGGACCATATGGAAACTCTCTGTATAGTGTGTTCAGTTTTGCTGTGAACCTAAAACTGCTCCTAAAAAAGTAAGTCAGGCTGGGTGCAGTGGCTCCCACCTATAATCCCAACACTATGGAAGGCCAAGTTGTGCGGATCGCTTGAGCTCAGGAGTTTGAGACCAGCTTGGGGAACATGGCAAAACCCCTTCTCTACAAAAAATACAAAAATTAGCCAGGTGTGGTGGCACACGCCTGTAGTTTCAGCTTCTTGGGAGGCTGAGGTGGGAGGATCACTTGTGCCCGGGTGGTGGAAGCTGCAGTGAGCGAGATGGTGCCACAGCACTCACCCTGGGTGATACAGTGAGACCCTGTCTCCCCGCACCAAAAAAAAGTTTATTAAAAAAAAAGACAAAAAAAAAGTCATCAACAATTTCCTGTCGTTGCCTAACATACGGAGTTTCATATAGAACCCAGTATCAGCAGGCTCTCTGGCCTTGGTAGCAGAGCAGACTGAACAGGAGGGACCCTCCCTAGGACAGCTGGGAAAAGTGCAGTCTGGAGCAGCGATTCTCCCCGACTTGGGAAGGGAGAAGTAAGGATGGAGCCTGAACCCTTGAGTACTAGCCCAAGGTTCTGAGATGTTCTTCTCCTTAAACAAAATCCTACACATGCTCCTGTGTTACTGAAATTCACCATCCCAATAGAGAGGTGACTTCAGCAGCAGACTGGAGACTAATTAAGGTTTTACCATCAACATTTGTGAGAAGGGGGCTGGGCATGGTGGGTCATGCCTGTAATCCCAGCACTTTGCGGCTGAGATGGGCAGATCACTTGAGGTCAGGAGTTCGAGACCAGCCTGGCCAACATGGTGAAACCCTGTCTTTACTAAAAATACAAAAAATTAGCTGGGTGTGTTGGTGCGTGCTTATAATCCCAGCTACTTAGGCGGCTGGGACATGAGAATTGCTTGAATCCGGGAGGTGGAGGTTGCAGTGAGCCGAGATTGCACCACTGCACTCCAGTCTGGGCGACAGAGCGAGACTTTGTCTCAAAAAAAAGAAAAAAAAATTGCGTGAGGGTGAGGGGAGGAGATGGGGTTCCATGAGGCACACACAATGAAGTGGATGAAGAAAAGGGGCATCTGAAGCAGCATGAAGTCAGTTCTCACCAACCCTTTGCAAGCGCAGGCAGGAGAAGAGGACGGGAGAGAAAATGAAGAGGAGAAAGGGAGGAGCAGGCATGCGACACGCACAAGGAACAGGTCTCCGACACGGGAGCTGCATGTGCCGTAACATGAATGCAATCTGGCAGGCGGCGTGGGCATGTGTGTCGGAAAGAGAGATTTACACCGGGAAAGGGCACCTCCTAAAATATTTATAAATTTATCAAGAAAATATGTTTTAAAAATGAAAAATAAACAGATGTACAAGTGCAACTTGAGAGAAATACATTATGCGAGTTTGCAACAGCTGAGTGGCGGGTGTGTGGGAGACGGCGTGGGAGTGGGGAGTGAGTGCAGGGCCTGCTGGGGACCGGGCAGGGCAGGGAGGGACTTGGGGAGAGGTGGAAGCTGCTCCGCCCACCAGCGCCATCCCTGTCAGGACATAGCATCCTCACCACAGGGTGGCAGATAAGAAACAAAACACATCTGGGATGTCTCCTTAGGGAAAAAACTTATATGGGTGGCTGTGCAACCTGGAGCTCTCCCCTTTTAGTACAGAAATCTGCAATGTGAGGGGCAATACTGCTTGGGCGCTGGGAGAGGAACCCCAGGATCATTCTGCCACATTACCCCGGCCAAAGCACGGACCCCTCCAGGCCTACTCATCTGTTAAATGTTCCAGGCCACTTTCTAGGGGGAAGAAAATGAGGTGCCGCGTGTGACAGCAGCAGGGGAAGGCATTGCAAATCATGCCTTGGTTAAAACCATGAAGCTCTCAGTCACAGACGTACACTGATGAATGTGTTCTTATTCGGCACTGAAACACAACGTGTTATTTAAGGGGATGCCAAAAAGTGGTTGGAGAACTAGATGATGCTCTAATTTGGTTTTTTGGTTGAAAAATGCTAGCAAAGCGCTTTAGATATCTGCCTGGTCTGTGGCTTGGAATTTATTTGTTCAGTATCACAAAATTACACTAAGCAGAATGCAAATTACCAAAACCAGGCATTTCTCAAATGTGGGTGACTGAAGTTATTTTACTACCTTAAGAGGAGTGCAGGGCACTATAGACATGTGCCTAGGCCCCTGTAGACTCACACCCAGTGGACTTAACTACCTAAGCCCAGCAGGCTTTCAGAAGACCCACACTCACCAGCAGGAATGTCGTCTCCTTATGTGATTTAAATTAAATTTTGTTGTTTAACGACATTAAACATGTTAAAGCAATATTTGAAAGAAAGAAGAAACTCATAATCCCCTGAACTGAATAGTCACAATGTCCAGCGAATTTTAGGGCAATAGACATTTTCTGGGCGCCAGCAATGGGTCCAACACTGGATATTCAGAGATGATCAAGTCACTGTCCTTGTCCTTGAGGAACTGACAGTTGAGGGCTGGGGAGACAGACAAATGTATAGATAACTCAAGAGTAAGTGATAAGCACTAAGCCAGAGGTCAGATCAGGCTTCCACAGGCAGGTGCCCAGCCTAACTGGGGACTCAGGAAAGGGGCTTCCTAGAGAGGTGATGCATAACCTGACTCATTCATTCATTTAGAGATGGGGTCTTGCTATATTGCCCAGGCTAGTCTCAAACTTGTGGCCTCAAGTGATCCTCCTGCCTCAGCCTCCCAAAGTACTGCGATTACAGGTGTGAGCCATGGTGCCCAGCCATGACCTGACTCTTAAAGAACAAAGGAGATAGAAAAAGTGGAGGAATGTCCAAGGCAGAGAGGAAGTGGCATAGGCACAAGTGCAGAGTTTGATTTTATCAGGGATCAAGTCCTAGGAAGGGAGTGGATGGTGACACTGGAGAGGTAGCTACAGACTGGAACACAAATGGCAGGAGATATCCTACTAAGAAGCTTGGACTTTCTTTGTTGGTGATGGGAGCTGCTAAACACAGACATTTTCCCTGGTGGTGAGTGTCAAAGAAACCCACAAAACAACAACAACAACAATAACAAAAAACCCTGACGTCCAGGGCTATCTTGATAACATATAACATCCTGTGCTTTTCTAACATTTCATCCTTGTGCTTTCGTTCTCATTAGCTGGTGGCTCACCATGAGGCCAGGAGGTGCTGCAAACAGTCTGAGGAGCCACACTTAGATCATGACCATACCATGTGGCCTCCCTCTTCTTCAGCCTGACACAGACATGGCACCTGAGATGAGTTTCTGTTATTTGGTGGCAGAAAGGTGGAGCTGAAGGAGGTTGAGTTGGTTGTCTTCAAAGCTACAGTCAGGAGCCAGAGGTCACCTGGATTTACTTTCTGTAGTTTATGGTTGCTTATCAAGGAGAAGGGGCGGGGGCACATAGCTCTGAGTATGGGGGAGCCTGGGAGACGGGAGTTTGTTTTCTGTGACAAAACACTCTCAGGCACAGGGATGGCGATGACAGCCACCTTGAGGCAGAACTGCAAAAGAAAGGACCCTGGGCCTGCAAAGAATGTCAGGAGATCATCTCCTGAGCAATGGCCCCTCTGCAGGTAGGCGTCCTATCTCTATTCCATTCTCTTCTGCCAGGAGGCAGGAGAAAGCAGTGGTACAAGACACGATTTGGAATCAGACACCTGGGTTTGCATTCAAGTTCTACCAAGTACTGGGAAGTTTTCCAGCCCTTCTGCAGTTCCCTCCTCTGTAAATGGGGATAAAGGAGTGCCTGAGTCATAGCGTTCATGTGAGGATTAAATGGGATCATCCATAAAAACAGTTTAGAAGAATACCTGGACCATAGATGCTCATAATCAACATCAGTTATTTATTCATTTTTTTTTGAGACAGGGTTTCACTCTATCACCCAGGCTGGAATGCAGTGGCGTGATCTCCACTCACTGCAACCTTCACTTCCCCTGCTCAAGTGATTATCCTGCCTCAGCCTCCCGAATAGCTGGGACTACAGGCACGTGCTGCCATGCCCGGCTAATTTTTTGTATCTTTAGTAGAGACAGGGTTTCTCCATGTTGGTCAGGCTGGTTTCAAACTCCTGACCTCAAGTGATCCACCCGCCTTGGCCTTTCAAAGTGCTAGGATTACAGGCGTGAGCCACCACATCTGGCCAACATCAGTTATTTTCACATGTTGGATGGAAAATAAAAAATAACTACCTCTATATGAATAATGACTGAAGGATATAAAATATTGACACACTATTACACACCTGCGCGCATGCATGCGCGTGCAGACACACAAACACACACACACACACGCACAGATGTAAAGCTATTATTTCTGTTGAGAAACTTCTTAAAAAATAAACCCAAACTTCCGCAAAGGGTGACCCTTCTGTCTACTTTTCCAACTTTCATTGCTGTTACTTTACATTAGTCCTGGTCACTTCAGGTTGCTGATCACAATGGATGGGTCAACTCACCAATTTGCGGATTTCACATTCTAAATTCTGAATACAGTCCAGTTTCCTTTTGCGGCAGCGCTGGGCCGCGATGCGGTTCTTGCTGCGCCGTCGGACATCATGAATAAACTCTAACTGTTCTGAGGTTAGCTTGTGCATTTTAATCATCATCTGGAAATCGTTCCTTGGAAGATCTGTGATTTGATCTACAGGAAAAGGAAGTTTTACCTGAAACCAAGAATAACAGAAAATGATTATGGCAGCTGGATTTTAATTCTGGCAGGCGGAACATCAAAAATGATAAAACCTCCTTTTTATGATGACCAAGTAATATGGAAACTACTGAAAGCAAGCAGTGATTACTTATTTCCTGTTTAAAGACAGATAAGATGTAATAATACCTGGATAATCAAACAGAATAAGAACACATATATTGCAATGTTATTGTCTCTGAGATTTTTGAAGCAAATGACATGAACAATATTGGAAAATGTGTCATTTTTCATTGATGTAGCACTTTTGTAAGAAAGATTCTAGTTAGTTGAAATGTACTTCCATAAGACCTACAGCCTAACTCAATAAAATGACAAGTTATAGGGAGATACCACATAAGGACATATCTAAAGCCCCTGAATGAAGAGAGCCCCATGTATCCTGAAAATGCTGGAGACACAAAAAACCCAGTGTGATTCTTAGTTACAATAGCATATGGGAGATAGGAGGAGATAACTTGGATAGGCTTCACTAGCATATAGTAGGAGTCAAAAGAACCGGGCTTTCATCCTTCTCACCAGACATGAGACCTCAGGCTAGCTACTCCACCTCTCTGAGATTCAATTTCCTCATCTGAAAAATAGGGCATTTTAAAAAAGCCGTACAGTGCTATACAAGTGTTGGGCACTTTGGGAATTTATTTTCCAATTTTACAATGAAATGTTGACATTCCTTTATCAAAAGGTGAGATGCATTTTTCCTGCCTTTTGACCAACAGAATGCAGCAGTAGTAATGGTGTATAGTTTCTGAGGCTAGGTCGAAAATTAGCTGCCATGCCTCGAGGACATTCAAGCAGCTCTGTGGAGAGGCCCATGTGGAGAGGGGCTGATGCCTCTAGTCAACAACCAGCATCACCTTGCCAGTCATGTGAACAAGCCACCCTGGAAAGATTCTCTAGCCCCAGTCAAACCTTCAGTTGAGTGTAGCCCCAGCCAACATCTGACTTCACCTTATGAGAGATCTTCAGCCCAAACTGCTCAGATGGGCAACTCCTGAATTCCTGACTCACATTCACATTTCTCATAGAAACTGTAAGAGGTGTTAAGTGATTACTATTGTTTTAGGTCATTAAGTTTTGGGGTGATTTATTATGCAACAATAGACATTGGATGCAGGTACTTGCCAGCAAAATTCCAAATCTTGACAAATTCCAATTCTTGACAAATCAAGGCAAATAAGCATTATCTAAAGCGAGGACAGCAGTCTCCTGAAGGATGGGTTTGTATCCTTACTATGTTGTTAAATGATTGCTTATATTTCTTTTTTTTTTTTTTTTTTTTTTTTTTGAGACAGGGTCTTGCTCTGTTACTCAGGCTGGAGTGGAGTGTTATGATCACAGCTCACTGTAGCCTTAACCTCCTGGGCTCAAGCAATCCTCTTGCCTTGGCCTCCCAAGTAGCTGGGACAACCCTGCCCAGTTAATTAAATTTTTTTTTTTTTTTTTTTTTTGTAGAGATGAGGTCTTGCGCCACAGAGAAGGGGAAAAAAAGAGATGAAGTCTCACAATGTTGCCCAGGCTGGTTTCAAACTCCTGGGCTCAAGTGATTCTCCCTACTCAGCCTCCCAAAGTGTTGGTATTACAGGTGGGAGCCACTATTCCTGGCCTGAAATATTTCTTTTCTTTTTTCTTTTGAGATGGAGTCTCGGTCTGTCACCCAGGCTGGAGTAGAGTGGCACGATTTTGACTCACGGCAAACTCCACCTCCCTGGTTCAAGCGATTCTCCTGCCTCACCTCCTGAGTAGCTGGGATTGCAGGTGTGCACCACCATGCCCAGCTAATTTTTGTATTTTCAGTAGAGATGCGGTTTTGCCATGTTGGCCAGGCTGGTCTTGAACTCCTGGTCTCAAGTGATCCGCCCGCCTTGGCCTCCCAAAATGCTGGGCTTACAGGGGTGAACCATGGTGCCTGGCCTGAAATATTTCTTAAGAATAGCAACCAGTGAAAAAGACTGCATGAAAGAGCCCCAAGTGCGGAAGGTGAGCAGCAAACCACTACTCTATCTCAAGAGCCTCCTTGGCACCCATGAGGTGACACAGGCTTGCACCTTTGAGCAGTTTGTCACTCCCCTTCCCGAGGCTCTTGGGGATTCAGCAGCTTCTGGGTTCAGTCTGGTCCTGCTTCAGAAGCTCCTGGAATAAAAAGGTTGTGTGCTGCCAGGCTAAGAGACAACGTGTGGGTTAGCTCAGATTGCTTCATTCTTGTTTACATTCACGTCTGCTCCGGATGAGCCAGCAGATGGCACTACAAACCTAAACTTCCTTCAAGCACTAGCCCAGCCCTGTCTAATACAAACAATACGAGCTACATTTGTGATTTTAAATTTTCCAGCAGCTACATTAAAAGAAGTAAAAAGAAACAGGTGAAATGAGTTTGAATACTGTATGTTATTTAACCCAATAGATAAAAATACTTCCAACATATAGCTAATATAATTATTAATGAGATAGTTTACAGTTTTTTTTTTTTTTGTGCTAAACTTTCCAAATCCAAAGCACATTTTATCCTTACAGCACATCATAATTCAGACTAGCCACTTTCAGGGGCTCAACAGCCACGTGCAGCATGAGGCAAATGGACTGGACAGTGCCACTCTAGGAGACAGAATAAATGGACTCAATGAATCCCAGCAGCCAGAAAAACATATGGGTCTGGGCTGAACTGATCAAAATGCTCTTGGGTGAAGAAACCAACCCCTCGATAGTGTTCAGATGCTGCAGGGTTAAGTCTGTGTTCTTCAAGGGAGTGAGGATGAAGACATTTGATCCTGAGCCCAGGTTTCTCTTTGGTTACATCATTTGCAGGCAGACACGAGTCCCGGCTGCCGGCATGTGTGGCTAGTCAATTCCCGTGCACAAAGGCAAATGTACAAAATGATCATTTGACTTTTCTGTGGTTGGGTGCAAGCTCTTTGTCAGGTTCCATCACAGCTCCGAGCTTGTGCAGTGTGGCATTTACTGAAGGTTCCCAGCAGGTGATCTGATTCAACTTCTACCTGGTGAGCTCTGTCCCATGACACCTGTAAAATTTTGGTCCAAGAAAGCAAAATCGCAGTAGGGCCCATGACACCACTGTCGGCTTGGCCCTGCTCCGACTGCTAAAGACAGGCAGCCAGGACAAACAGTTCCTTGTTATGGGCTCGGGAAAGGCCTTTGTGCACGGGGCTGTGTTTGCACAGGGCTTCTAATGATATGAAAGAATGTTTGATTTCCCTCTTATACCCGTTGGATAACAAACACACTCAGATCCTGCACGGTGTCTCCGGAACACAGAGGTCTGTCTGTTGGAGATGTGGATGTTCCAACACAGCAGAGGTGGTGGCGCTTTGGGGGCTTGTGGAGTTT
>NW_021159997.1:0-73265 GCF_000001405.40 Homo sapiens
AGATTTTGGAAAAACATTCACACTATGTTCCAAAATGACTTTGTAATTTACATTCCTATCAACATTTTACAAGGATTCCCTTTCCTCCATATTCTCACCAACACTTGTTATCATTTACCCTTTTGATAATCTCCATTCTCACAGGTGTAAGGTGATATTGTGATTTTAATTTGAATTTCCTGGTGATTAGAGACTTTTAGCATATATATATTATAAAAAATATATATAATATATATATATAATATATATAAAATATATATTATATATATTATAAAATTTATATATAATATATTATATATTATATATATAATTCATATCCCTTTTGAAAAGAAATGGTTATTCAGATTCTTTGCCCTTTTTAAATCAAGCAATTTGATTACTTACTATTGAGTGGTTCAAGTTGCTTATATATTTTTGATATTAACCCCTTGCCAGATGTATGGTTTACAAATATTTTCTCTAATATGTGGGCTATCATGTCAATCTATTAACTGTTTTCTATTCTGTGCAGAAGCATTTTAGTTTGGTGCAAAGCCAATTGTCTATTTTTGCTTTTGTTAACCTGTGCTTTGGGTGTCCTATCTAAGAAATCATTGTCCAGACCAAGGTTGTGGAGATTTCCCCCAATGTCTTCTTCTATAAGCTTTACTGTTTCATGTCATACATTTAAGTTCTTTATCATTTTGAGTTGATTTTTGTCTATGGTATAAGTGCCCAATTTCATTTATTTCTTTTTTTTTTGCTTATGGATATCCAATTTTCCCATCATTATTTATTAAAGATATTGTCATTTTTCCATTATGTGTTCTTAGCACATTTGTCAAAAAACAATTAACCATAAATACTTGGATTTATATCTGGGTTTTCTATCCTGTTCCATTCGCCAATATGTCTGTTTTTATGTCAGTATCTGTTTGATTTTTATAGCTTTACAATAGATTTTCATATCACATAGTGTGATGGCTCAAGCTTTATTCTTTTTGCTGAAGATTGCTTTGCTATTTGGGGTCTTTAATGGTTGCATACATATATGAGGATTTTTTTCCATTTCTGTTAAAAAAATTAGAATTTTGAAGAGATTATAATAATTTTAGATGGTTTTAGGTAACATGACCATTTTAACAATATTAATTTTTTCCATCAGTAAAAATGAGCTATCTTTCCATTTATTTGTGTCTTCTATTTCATTCATCAATATTTTATGGTTTTCAGTGTATAGGTCTTTCACCTCTTTGGATACATTAGTTCTAATTATTATTATTCTTGTTATTATTGCTGTTGAAAATAAAATTCTTTTCTTCATTTTTTTCAGATAGTTGATTTTTAGTGAATAGAAATGCTATCGATTTTTGCACATGGATTTTGTATCCTATGACCTTACTAAATTTATTTATTATTTCTAACAGTTTTTTTGGTGGAGATTTTAGGGGTTTTTATATATAAGATTATGTCATCAGCAAACAGAAACCATATCAGTTTATCACTGGGATAAATCCTACTTAATCAAGATGAATGATCTTTTTAACATGTTGTTGATCTTTGTTGGTATTTTATTGAGGATTTTTGCGTCTGTGTAGATCCGTCAGGGATATTGGCCTGTAGTTGTTGTTGTTGCCGTTTTTCCATGTAGTATCCTTGTCATGTTTTGACATCAGGATAATGCTGACATTATAAAATGATTTTGGAAGTAATAACTTCTCTTTAATTTTTTGGAAGAAGTTTATGAAGCTATCAGTTCCTAGACATTTTTAATAGCAGACATTTTGTCATTTATAAGAATTGTTGGCTTAAATTGCAATTTGAAATTTTGTATTACTTATTATTCATGCCAGTATGGTAAATAAAGCACATTGATCCATTTGCTAGACAATTTTAAAATTTTATATTTAAAATTTTATATTATTTATTATGCATGCCCATATGGTAAACAAAGTACACTGATCCACTTGCTAGGCAATTTTAAAGAACAATTTTGTGGACATTTAACAGTTGCTAGCACAATTCTCAAATAAGGAAATTTTTCTCGCTTTCTTTTAAATGTTTTAAAATTTTTTAACAGTACAAAAATTTGAATGCCTGGGGATATGATTCTGGATATACTCATTCCAACTTGCCTGTACAAGTGACCATACAGCCATTAAGCTATAAAACTCATTTCCTGGCCCAAAAATATAAAAGGTAAATGTCCTTAATACTTCCGATAAAAGACCTCAGGACTTCACTGAATTTATTCTCTTGTAATCTGAGAAATTCTTATTATTCAGTTCTAAACGTGAGAACTGTCTTAGCACTTAGGTTAACTAGTCATCTAAGAAAAAAAAGTAAAAACTATTTTAAACATTTCAAAACAGATATTTTCAAGACTTAATATATAAGCATGATTATATCTGCGCTGAAATTTTTGACTCTTAGAAACACATTTGGAGGTTTGTATATTATTTAGGTTGCATACTCTGGGTTTTTATGACAACTGATAATTTCCTTTTAAATTTCTAAAAAAATAATCATCCAAACTTCTATAGTATTTGTAAAGCCCTTTAGAATTGTTTCTGTTGTTGTTCATTTCTTTCTGCTCACAGAAACTAGCCTTCAGTACCTGACTGTAGATAGCTGTTCCGTGATAAATTTGTACACAGAACTATTACAATGACAGTGAAAATCATGTATTTCTTACAGTGGGAGGTAATCAAGGTAGCCATCCAAAATCATTTATGTATTTATTTATTTATTTATTTATTTATTTATTTATTTATTTATTTTATGTGATGAAACATTTTTATTAAATTATAAGGTCTACAAATATCTACAAATAGTTATTGTCAGCTTAATACTACTCTGGTTTTAATAAGAGGAAAAAAACAGGTAAGAAGGATGTTAATAACATGTGTTCCAGGCTGGAAGGAGGAATAAGTGATATTTGTCTATTTCAAATTTCCAAATATCATAACATAAAATTGGAAAGATTTTCCTTAGTAAATTTCTGTGTAACTTTTATTAAACATTTTCACAGAGAAAAATGTCCGCAATATTAGATGCTAAAAGTATTTTTAAAACACTTTTGAATACTCTCAGCTGATCAAAACACCTAGAACTTTACATGTAAGCAATTTGTTATTTTCACATTATCTGTGGTTTATTTTCCTACAAATCAGTATGTGTTTCCTGTTGCATAAGTGAAAATTGTCCTATTTATCATTTCCTTATTGCATCCTATATTTGCATAAAATATTGAAATTACTCCCACTTTATTTAACTTAGTATACCAGAACCCTTTTCAATCCATTGAATTAAACTCAATGTTATTTGAAAAACCTCGAAAACAAATGATGTTAACGCAGCTGTCACTGTGAGCTAGTTCAGAGCATTTATGTATTTTTTCTGTGGCACTTCCACTCAGTGCGCATGTCACCTAGTTTTTAAATTAAAAATGCAGTAATACTTTCCTTAAGATATTAATAATTTGTCATGTTTTCAAATATAAACGAGATGATATAAGAACAATGTACTGTAAATTATATTGAGAAATCAATGTAAATTATAAATCAAGTGCTATTATTAAACTTATTATACTTGTAATATTGTCTTCTTTGTAAAAATGGTCATAGTCGTGGTTATGGCATCAAAATTCTATGCCTTTTCTTATTTTAGATTTTTTTTCCTAAATATTGCTGCCCATCTACAGTGAGAAATTATCTAGGCTTATCATTTTGTGTTTCATAAAATGATAATATATAATGATTCTATATGAATGATGACAGTATACAGTTGACCCTTAAAAAATATGAGTTTAAACTGCATGTGAACACTAAACGTGAATGTTTTTCAATAAATATATTGGAAAGTTTGGGGGAGATTTGTGACAATTTGAAAAACATGCAGACAATCAGTATAGCCTAGAAATATCAACAATTATTTTTAAAAGTTAGGTATGTCATGAAGAGATAGAATGTCAGTAGATACCAGTTTATTTTATTATTTGCTACCATCAGATATAACAAATCTGTTATACAAAGTAAATATTTATCAAAACATAGAACACAGACCATACATGGCTCCATTAGCTGTCAAGAGAAAGGGGAACAAACTTAAAGATGCAATATTAATTCATAACTGCATAAAGTTAACTGTAGTACATACTCTACTACTTTTATAATTGTGTAACCACCTTCTGTTGCTGTTGCAGTGGGCTCATGTGTTGCGAGTATCCACTTATAACACCATGTGATGCTAATCATCTTTGTGTGAGTAGTTCCTTTCTCCAGCAAATTGTGATTCACTGTAAAAAGCGATCTCCCACATTTCTTGAGTATTTTTTATCATGTTTAGTGCTATACCATAAACCTTGAATAACACCGTTGAAGCCAAACAAAATGCCACTAGTGATGCTAGAATTGCTCCCAAGCATCAAAGTTACCACATTACAAGAAAAGTTGAATTGCTTGATATGTACCATAGATTGAGGTTTGCCTGCCATTTCAGACAGGTGATAAAACTTGTAAAGAGATGCTGTAAACTAATGGGACTGATTTTCTCTTCCTTATGATTCTCTTAATAACATTTTATTTTCTCTAACTTTATTGTAAGAACACAGTAATATAATAAATATACAAAATATGTGTTAACCATCTGTTTGTGTTATCAGGAAACCTTCCAGCCAACAGTAGGCTATTAGTAGCTAAGTTTTTGGGGAGTCAAAATTATACATAGAATTTCGACTGTATGGGGGTCACCACTCTTAACTCACAAGCTGTTCAGGTATCAACTGTATATCTTCTAGAAGACTGATATGTGAAGGCTATAATGAATTTAATGCTTAAAATCTTTTCTATCTATTGACATAGTTTCCTATAGAGTTTTACTAGCAAAACTCTTTAGGAAATCCACGAATGCGATGGAATTTCACCATAGTAATTTGCTCTATTTAATTGGTAACGACGGGAAGGGGTGTGCTTGTTACAAGGGGAAGGATTTTACTTGCCTTCTAGTCATACTATTGGTGAGGAAGAGATTCCCATCCCAAGATTGGAGGGATAGGCAAAGACACTACATCTGACACTGGAACAATAAACTCAGCAGCAGTTTGTTAGTTACATACACTTATAGCCTGGAGGAGGAGCAGATCACATGTCATGCAGGACCACATGGGGCCACAGGGGAGTTGTGCTCCAGAACTGAGTGAACAACCAGGGTCTCCACAGGAGATTGTTATTTGGTTATTTGAATAGTTTCACAGACTGACAAATAACTGAAACCTGCTACTCAAGGATAAGTGGGAAGCACATCTAGTCAATTTATTAAGCAGGGTTGTTGGCTAGAAGACCTTATCCATCAGGGAAGAATGGGGATTGGAAGTTGTGGTTAGACAATTTGAGGCCCTCCTGGCTTCCCCCATTTGTCTAAGCAGCACTTAATATTGGTCCTTAATATTAGACCTTTTACCGTGGGCAATAAGTGTTGTAATGGAACTGGTTAGGAGAAAAAAAATGCTGCTCTACATTTAAGAAAGCCTGTGCATTAATCAAAATTTCTAAATATATTATCTGCACGTCCTCAAAAAGTAATCCAACTCTTGGAATTTGTTTTCCTCAAGGATGTAACAGAAAAACTAATACTTGAACTATGTCTCTTACAGTCTTTTTTTTAATTTAAACTTCTCATTTTGAGAGATGATTGTAAAGTCACATGTACCTGTAAAGAGTAATACAAACATCTCTTGTACACCTAATCTAGGTTCCTCCAGTGATAACATCTTGAAATACAATGTAAATCTAGTACAATATCACAACCAGGGTATTGACATTGATACAGTCCAGATACAGAACATTTCCATCTTCATAGGGATCCATTCTGTTTCCCTCTTACAGCGACACTTTCATCCCTTCATATTTCCATTCCTGAGCCCTGACAACTCTCCATCTGCCCTTCATCTCTAGAATTTTGTCATTGCAAAACATTTTATAAAATTAAACCATACAGCGACATTTTGGATTAACTTTTTTCACTCAGTGCAATTCCTTGGTGATTTATTCAAGCTGTTCTTTATAGCAATATTCCATTCATTTACATCTCAGAGTATTGTTATATAGCATGGAGGATCTACAGTTTGTTTAATTATCTGTATATTTGGTGATCATCTACATTGTTTCCAGTTCTGGATTGTTTTCTGTCTATTGTGATTAAAGCTGTTATGAATATTTATGTATAGATCTTGTATAAAGATACATCTGATTTCTCTGAGATATAAGCTCAAGAGTGTAATTTCTGGGTCATGTGATATTTTATTTAAAAATTTTCAAACTGTTTTCCAGAGTGAATGTACCACTTCACACTCCCATCAGCAGTGTATGAGTGATCCAGTGCCTTCAGGTCATCACCAGGATTTGGTGATGTCACTATCTTTTTTTTTTGTAAATTTTAGCCTTTCTGATGTACAATGCTCACTGTGGTTTTAATTGGCTTTTACTCGATGGCTAATGGTGTTAATTATTTGTGGAATTTTACTGACGTTTTTATGGCTTATTGCTATCTGTATAAACTATTTGGTGAAATTTCTGACGTATTTTGCCAATTTTCAATTTGGATTTGTGTGTTTTGTTTTTTATTTATTTTTTACTGTTGGTGTTTGAATGTTCATTATGTATTCTAGATGTTAGTCTTTGACAGACATGCGGTTTGCAAATATTTACTCCCAGTCCATGGGCTGCTTTTTCATTTTCTTAACAGGGTCTTTTGAAGCACAAATCATCTTAAATTTAATTAGGTCTGATTTATCCATTTTTTTATTTTAGATGATAATTTTGGTATCAAATCTAAGACCTCATTGCTTAGGCCTGGATTCCAAATACATTGCCTTATGTGTTTTCTAAAAGTTTTATAATTTTATATTTCAATACCTGAATATATTTTAATATAAGGCATGTGGATTAATTGGAGGTTCATAGTTTCTCTTATGACTATCCTATTACTCCGGAACAATGCGATAAAAACACTATTTTTTCTTATTTAAATATGAGTCTGTCAAAAAGTCAGTTGACTATATTTTTATATTTGTGTTAATCTGTTTATAAGTTCTCTATTTTGTCTTTTATTTAACACATTGATTGATGTGTCTATTTATCTGCCAATATCACATTCCTGATTATTTTTATAGCTGTATAACAGACTTATGCAATAATGGGTTGAGTGATTTCTCCCATCTTATTTTTCATCAAGATTGTTTTAGCTCTTCTCTGACTTTAATATTTCCATATGAATATTAGAATAAGCTTATCTATGTCTATAAAAAATCTAGTAAAATATGACTTAAATTACATGAAATCCATAGATTGATTTGGGGGAGAATAGACATCTTCACTGTGTTAAGTCTTCCAATCCATGAACACACTGTATCTCCCCATTTACTCAGGTTTTCTTTGATTTTTTGCATCAGCTTTTTGTAATTTTAGCATATATATTTCATACAACTTTTTAATGTTTTTGCCTAAATGTTTTATTTTCTTTGGAGTGAGTATAAATGATGTTGTATTTTTAATTTCGTCTCCACATGTTCCTTTTTAATCTACAGAAATATGACTGAGTTTTGCGTATCGATTGATCTTGTATCCTCCAATATTGGTGAACTCAATTATTAGTTCTAGAAGGCTTTTGTTTCTGATATACAAATATATATCACGGGGATCCATATATATATATATATATATATATATATATATATATGGAATAAATATATATTATATAAAATTTTGTCATTGCAAAACATTTTGTAAAATTAAACCATACAGAGACATTTTGGATTAACTTTTTTCACTCAGTACAATTCCCTGGTGATTTATTCAAGCTGTTCTTTATGACAATAATCCATTCATTTACATCTCAGAGTATTGTTATATAGCATGGAGGATCTACCGTTTGTTTAATTATCTGTATATTTGGTGATCATCTAAATTGTTTCCAGTTCTGGAAACTATACATATATATAATTCGTATATATATACTCCTATATATATATTCCTATATATATTCCTATATATATACTCCTATATGTATATTCCTATATATATACTCCTATATATATATTCCTATATATATATTCCTATATATATTCCTATATATGTTCCTATATATATTCCTATATATATTCCTATATATATTCCTCTATATATATTCCTATATATTCCTCTCTATATATATTCCTATATATATATTCCTATATATATTCCTATATATATATTCCTATATATATATTCCTATATATATATTCCTATATATATATTCCTATATATATATTCCTATATATATTCCTATATATATTCCTATACATATATTCCTATATATATTCCTATATATATTCCTATATATATTCCTATATATTTATTCCTATATATATATTCCTATACATATTCCTATATATATTCCTATATATTTATTCCTATATATTTATTCCTATATATTTATTCCTATATATATTCCTATATATTTATTCCTATATATATTCCTATATATATTCCTATATATATTCCTATATATATATTCCTATATATATTCCTATATATATTCCTATATATATATTCCTATATATATATTCCTATATACATTCCTATTTATATATTCCTATATATATATTCCTATATATTCCTATATATATATTCCTATATATATTCCTATATATATATTCCTATATATATAATCCTATATATATTCCTATATATATATTCTTATATATATTCCTATATGTATATATTCCTATACATATATTCCTCTCTATATAAATTCCTATATATATATTCCTATATATATATTCCTCTCTATAAATATTCCTATATATATATTCCTCTATATATTCCTCTATATATATTCCTGTATATATATATATTCCTATATATATTCCTATGTATATATATTCCTTTACATATATTCCTGTATATATTCCCATATATATATTCCCATATATATATTCCCATACATATATATTCCCATATATATATATACCCATACATATGTATTCCCATACATATATATTCCCATACATATATTCCCATACATATATATTCCCATACATATATTCCCATACATATATATTCCCATACATATATATTCCCATATATATATATTCCCATACATATATATTCCCATATATATATATTCCCATACATATATTCCCATATATATATATTCCCATACATATATTCCCATATATATATATTACCATATATATATTCCCATATATATATATTCCCGTATATATATTCCCATATATATATATTCCCGTATATATATTCCCATATATATATATTCCCATATATATATTCCCATATATATATATTCCCATATATATATTCCCATATATATATATTCCCATATATATATTCCCATATATATATTCCCATATATATATTCCCATATATATATTCCCATATATATATTCCCATATATATATTCCCATATATATATATTCCCATATATATATTCCCATATATATATATTCCCATATATATATATTCCCATATATATATTCCCATATATATATATATTCCCATATATATATATATTCCTATATATATTCCCATATATATATATATTCCCATATATATTCCCATATATATATGCCTATATATATTCCCATATATATATGCCTATATATATATTCCCATATATATATGCCTATATATATATTCCCATATATATATGCCTATATATATATTCCCATATATATATATTCCTATATATATATTCCCATATATATATATTCCTATATATATATTCCCATATATATATTCCTATATATATATTCCCATATATATATTCCTATATATATATTCCCATATATATTCCTATATATATATTCCCATATATATATATTCCTATATATATATTCCCATGTATATATATTCCTATATATATATTCCCATGTATATATATTCCTATATATATATTCCCATGTATATATATTCCTATATATATATTCCCATGTATATATATTCCTATATATATATATTCCCATATATATTCCTATATATATATTCCCATATATATATTCCTATATATATATTCCCATATATATATTTCCTATATATATATTCCTATATATATTCCTATATATATTCCTATATATATTCCTATATATATTCCTATATATATATTCCTATATGTATATTCCTGTATATATGTATTCCTATATATATTTCTATATATATATATTCCCATATATATATCCCTATATATATTCCCATATATATATCCCTATATATATTCCTATATATATTCCTATATATATATTCCTATATATATATTCCTATATATATTCCTATATATATATTCCTATATATATTCCTATATATATATTCCTATATATATTCCTATATATATTCCTATATGTATATTTCTATATATATGTATTCCTATATATATATTCCTATATATATTCCTCTATATATTCCTCTATATATATTCCTATATATTCCTCTCTATATATATTCCTATATATATATTCCTATATATATTCCCATACATTTATTCCTATATATATTCCTATATATATTCCTATATATTTATTCCTATATATATTCCTATATATAGTCCTATATATATATTCCTATATATAGTCCTATATGTATATATATATTCCTATATATATTCCTCTCTATATATATTCCTATATATATTCCTATATATATATTCCTGTCTATATATATTCATATATATATATTCCTCTATATATATATTCCTATATATATTCCTCTTTATATATTCCTTTATATGTATTCCTCTCTATATATATTCCTATATATATATTCCTCTATATATTCCTCTATATATATTCCTATATATATTCCTATGTATATATATTCCTTTATATATATTCCTGTATATATTCCCATATATATATTCCCATATATATATTCCCATATATATATTTTCCCATATATATATATTCCCATATATATATTTTCCCATATATATATATTCCCATATATATATATTCCCATATATATATATTCCCATATATATATATTCCCATATATATATTCCCATACATATATATTCCCATATATATATTCCCATATATATGTTCCCATATGTATATATTCCCATATATATATTCACATATATATATTCCCATATATATATTCCTATACATATATTCACATATATATTCCTATATATATTTCTATATATAATATTCCTATATATATTTCTATATATATTCCTATATATTTTCCTATATATATTCCTATATATATTCCTATATATATTCCTATATATATTCCTATATATATATTCCTATATATATTCCTATATATATATATTCCTATATCTATATTCCCATATGTATATATATATTCCTATATATACATATAGATATATTCCTATGTATATATATATATTCCTTAGGAAGTTCTATGTAGACAATCACGTCACCTGAAATTGGGGAAAGTTTTGTTTCTTCTATTCCATTCTAGATGTTTTTTGTTTTCTTTTCTTTCCTTTTTTTATTTAATTCAGTGACTACAACATTCAGTTCTATGTTGAATAAGAATGGTGAGAATTGTCATTCGTCACCTTGTTCCTGATGTCGGTGAGAAAGGAGTCAGTCTTCACTATTAATTATAAAACCAGCTGTTCGTGTTTCGTGGATGCTCTCTGTGAAGTCATGGAAATTATTTTCTACTCCTAGTTTGCCAAAAGTTTTTTTCATCATAAATGTGTATTAAATTTCATTAAATGCTTTTTCTGTACCAATTAATATAATCAGGTTTTTTTCTAATTTAGCCTGTTGATATGATACAGTATAGTGTTGTTTCAAATGGTAAACCAACTCTTCATGGGTCAATAAAAAATCTGTTGTAGAATAGTGTTAAATTCTTGGTTATCACACAGAATTATTGTTAAAATTTACTGAATTTAACTGCCTAATATTTTAAGAATTTCGGGGTCTAGGTTTATGAGAGATATTGTTCTGCAGTTTTCTTTTCTATTTCTTTCTTTGCTTTGTTTCTTCTTCTTTCTTTCCTTCCTTCCCTTCTTCCTTTTATTTTCTTTGTACTGTCTTTAGTTTTGATATCAGGATAATACTCATCTCATGAAATGAGTTGGAAAGTATTCTCTTCTGTTTTCTGCAGAAGGTTACATAAAATTGGTGTCAATTCTTCTTTAAATGTTTAGTAAAATTTAACAGTGAAGCCATGTGGACTCAAATATTTCTTTCTAGGAAAGGTGTTAATTAGAAATTCAAAATGTTTAATGATTATAATACTGTATCAATTTATTTTGATTGAATTTTGGTACTTTGCAGTTTTTGAAGAATCAGTTCATTATTCTAAGTTGTCAAGTTGTACCTCAAAATTGTTTATAGAATTTCCTTATTATCTCTTCAGTAAGTTCAGGATCCTTAGTGATACATTTCTGCTATTACTCATTGCATTTTTCTCTTTTTACCTTTATCATTCTTGCTAATGGTTTATCTATTTTATTGATATTTTCAAATAATTAGCTTTTTGTTTCATTGATTTTCCTTTATTATTTCCATAATCTTAATTGTATTATTAATTTTACTATTATTTCTTTTTTTTTTTTTTTTTTTTTTTTTTTTTTTTTTTTTTTTGAGGCGGAGTCTCGCTCTGCAGCCCAGTCTGGAGTGCGGTGGCGCGATCTCGGCTCACTGCAAGCTCTGCCTCCCAGGTGCACACCATTCTCCCGCCTCAGCATCCCAAGTAGCTGGGACTATAGGCGCCCGCCACCACGCCCAGCTAATTTTTGTATTGTTAATAGAGACGGGGTTTCACTGTGTTAGCCAGAATGGTCTCAATCTCCTGACCTCGTGATCTGCTTGCCTCGGCCTCCTACAGTGCTGAGATTACAGGCATGAGCCACCGCGCCCGACCAATTTTGCTATTATTTTCTAACTATTTCTTCTTTCTCCCTGTTTTTGGCTTAATTTACTCTTCTTTGTTGTAATACTAAAAATAGGAATTTAAGTTATTGATTTGAAATTGTTTCTTTTTCTGATGTAAACGATTGTATAATTTTTTTTCTCAGAAGTGCTTTAGGTGTATCTCACCTATATGGATGCATTGTATTATAATTCTCATTTAATTTCATGAATTTTTTGTTTCCTTTGAAACTTCCTATTTGGCTCACAGATTATTTAGAAATGTTTTGCTCAGTTTCCAAATGTTTTAAGATTTTTTTTTCCTGTAACCAGTTTCTAGTTTGATTACATTATGGTTGGAGAAGATACTCCACATAGTTTTTAATTTCTCTAAATTGTTTAGACTGTTTTATGATCCAATATATAATCTATATTGGTGAGTGTTTTCACCATATGAAATGAAGTATGGGAACTTGAAGGAAATGTACATGCTGCTCTTGTAGATTAAAGAGTTCTGTATGTGTCAGTTAGTTCCTATCAGTTGATGGTGTTGTTCAGCTCTTCTTTGTCTTTGCTAGTTTTCTGTCTATTGATTGTATTACTGAGAGTGGGGTGTTGAAGTTTCCAACTACAATTGTAGATTTGTCTATTCCTCCTTCTAACTCTTTTATTCTTTCCTGTGTTTAGAAGATCTATTGTGTGGTATATACCCATTAATGATCACTATGACCTCTGTATTAGTTTGCTAGGGCTGCTATAACAAAAAGACACAAGCAATGAGGCTTAAACAACAGAAATTTATTTTATCACAGTTCTGGAGGCTAGAAGTCTAAGATTAAGGTATTGGCAAGTTTGTTTCTTCTAAGGGCTCTCTTCTTGGCTTGCAGATAGAGCTTCCTTCTTGTGATGTACTCACATAGCCTATTCTCTGTGAATGCACATCCCTGATGTCTCTTCTTCTTTTAAGGATGCCAATCATATTGAATTAGTGTCACTATTCTGACATCATTTAACCTTAATTCCCTATTTAAAGGCTCTATTTCCAAATACAGTCACACTGGCATTAGGGCTTCAAGATATATATTTTGATGAACATAATTCAGTCAATAGAAACATTTTAATGGATTATTTTATCATTATAACATATCATTTTATAACTGATAATTTTCTTTGCTTTGAAACCTGTTTTATCTGATATTAATATAGTCACTCAATTTATTTTTTTAATGTTAACATGGTTTATCTTTTTCCTTTAAGTTTCATCCTGCATATGACATTGTGTTTGAAGCGAATTTCTTGAATACAGCATATAAAACATGGATTTTTTTAAAATCCACTCTGTCAATCTCTGTTTTTTAATCAGTGTATTTCCATAATTTACATTTAAGTAATTTTTTGTTGTGGTACTGCATAAATATGTGATTTCGTTTATTTCTATTTTCTCTATTTCTCATTCTTTATTTTTCTTTTCTTCCCTTCATTTGGATTACACGAATATTTTATAGAATTCTATATTTTTAATTGTTTTCGAATATATCACTTTGTATAGTTATCTTAATGATTGTTCTAAGCTGTACAATATACATATATATAACTTAACACAACCAACAGTTACTGACATTTTACTTTTTTTTTTTTTTTTTTTTGAGACAAGGCTCTGTCTCTGTTGCCCAGGATGGGTTTGAACTCCTGAGTTCATGTAATTATCTCACCTCAGCCTCATGAGTAGTTGGGATTACAGGTGAACAATACCATGTCTAGTGATATTTTACCACTTTAAGTAACTACTGAATCTGTAGTTCTATTAATATCTCTGTCCCTCCCCATTATAAAAATTTGTCTCAATTATTTCTCTGCGTACACTGGCCATCACATGATTTTTGCTTCTGCCATCTAATATGATTTTTAAAACTCATGAGGAGAAAAAATATATTTTCCCTAATATACCTATTTTTAAATGAAATCGCAGACTTTCTGTCATCTTTTTCATTCTAATTGGATAGATTTTTTAGCCATTCCTTAAGGGTAAATTGCTAGGATAAAATTAAATGTTTCTTTGCCTGAGAATATCTTAATTTCCCCATCAACCCTGAAGGACAGTTTTGCAAGATACTGAATTTGTGGTTGACAGTTCTTCTTCCTTTCAGCACTTAAAAATATTGTGCCCCTTTCTTCAGACCTTCATGGTCAAATTGGAATTTCACTCTTATTTGAATAAGTTTTGTTTTTTTTTTTTGCTATAGATAATGCATCATTTCTCTCTGGTTGCCTTTAAGATGTCTTTCTTTGTCTTTCATTTTTAGAAGTTCACTTATCATGTGTCACGGAGAGGATTGCTTTGAATTTACCTTGTATGGGATTCACTTAGCTTCTTGAATCTGTAAATTCACATATTTTTTGCCAAATTTGGGGAGTTTTCAGCAATTATTTTTGAATATTTTATACCTATATTCTTTCTTCTTTTTGCCTGAGGCTCCAATAATAGAAATGTTTGATATTATGTTCTGTTCCACATGTCCCTGAAACTGTGTTCAGTTTTTTTTCAGTCTAGTCTGTGATTGAGATTGAGTAAATTCTGTTGATCCCCTTAAGTTTACTGCTTCTATCTTCTGTCATCTCCACTCTACTACTGAGCCCATTAAACAAATGGAAGGTATAAGATAGAGTCAAATGGAAATTATGGAACCAAGAAATGCAATAACCAAATAAAAATTCACTTGATGGGTTTTTATTTTGGTTATTACATTTCTTGATTCCATAATTCCCATTTGATTCTATCTTATAACTTCTATTTATTTAATGACATTTTCATTTTTTTCATTGATTTCAAGAAATGTGTAATTAATTATTGAAGTATTTTTGTGATAACTACTTTGAAATCTTTGATATACAATTCTAATATATTTGTGTCTATGTCGGCAACAATTGGTTGGCTTCTTTTTGTCATTCAAGTTTTGATTTTTTCTAGTTCTTGGTATGATGAGTGATTTTTGACTGCATACTGGGCATTTTAGATTGTATGTTAGGAGACTCTTAATCCTATTTAAATCTTCAATTTTAACAGGCAGTTGTCTTACTTAGGTTTAGTGTACAGGTACTGGTCTAGTTTTGTGGGGTGTAATTCCAATAACAATTTAGTTTTCTGAGCCCTCACAATGCTATTCTGAACTGCTTTGTTCTGATTCAGCTTAATGTCTCGCTATTCCCTGCTGGTACTGATGGCACAGGTGGAAGTTGCTTCCCTAAGCACCCAGATCTCTTACGTAGGAGATGCTGAATGTGCAGGATGGAGAATATTGCATGCAGAGCACTGGACTTCCTATTATGTCGCTGGCGTGGCACCAAAGGGAGCGAGGTGCCTACCTGAACTATCTTTAACCCACTGGATAGAGGACAAATTGATGCCTGACTTAGAACTACTTCTTCCATTATAGTGGAGGGCTAAGAGTATTGCTTTTTATTGTTGGGCAGAAGATGAAAAAACACCAGACCTGTTGGCACTTCCAGTGCAATTGGAAAAGCCCATCTGCTGCTAACAAATGTGGGACATGGTTTGGGTGGGAATGACAGGCACATTGGACTGCCTCGGCTGGAGGACCCAGGGAAGAATGTGAGCTGGCCCACCCAGATTCTGCTGCTGGTAGTATCACTGCCACTGAGCAGTCAGCTCCATTGTCGCAGGTGTGAAGCCAGGGACAGAGAGCAGATGTGGCTAATACAGCTACTAGACGTTGAATTTCCCATCAGATCTCTATCAGTTTACTCCTTTTTCTGTTTTATTGGCCAGAGAGACCAGAATGTACCTGCGTTTTCTTTGACTGCACTTTTGTTTTGTTTTGTTTTTCATAATAGGCATTTTCAGGTAGGAGTTTCATCTCTGTTTAATTGCAGGTATATTAATTAATGTAGATATTGTATTATCTAAATGTTTTTGCATTGAGTCATAAAATTAATATGTATTTTAAACATATCTATAAAAAATTAACATGTAGCAGAACTACATTCTGATATAGGAAACTGGCTTGAAATATGTTTTTCAGTTATTTTTAAATGTTTATTATTTAGCTTCAGAATATATTGGATATTTATAACTGGGTCGCCTTAGATTGCTTGTTTCTTGACATTCTCTATAATTTGTGGTATTTACTACAGAAAACATTGCATTTTTCAGTGCATTTTTATTTTCACTTTATTATCCCTGCTGTGGAAACTAATTTATCCTTGAGGATATGATCTGTCAAATTCTAGGTTCAATTTAAGATAAAATACTTATTTCTTTATTAATTTTGGTTTTAATAAGTTTCCTTAATTAAATTTTATAATGTATCTTCTTTTATTTCAATATTTCAGCAAAATGGTTCATATATTATAATAATTTTTGGCAAATTTATTTTTATTTTAGTTATACTAAAAACTAAAAGTTTTACATTGTGTAAGAAATCTTGGGTAAAATTTTATGTAGATCTATATACATGGAATTGCATGCACACACAGATACACATATACATGTACTGAGATTTAGTTACTTAAACAGTGGGAATTGATATAAGTAATATTTTTATACATTCAGATATTGTCTTACACTTAAAAATAGTCTTTATTATCGATATAGGAAACAGCTCCCACTATTACAAAATTACCAACTTGATAACTGGGTTAGTATCATATTTATCATAATAGTTCATGCAAGTGCTAGATTGTTATAAAAAGCAGGCGCCAAAGTACAACAGCTTTACTAAAACAGGTGACTTCTCTGTCATGGTACAATCTACTATATTGTCATTCTAAGGCCGATGACATTGTTCTTGGCTTCATTGTTTATCCTAGATTAGTTTTACATCCATGTTCAGCTTGTAGGTAGAGGAAAAGACAGGCAGGAATTCCAGGACAATACATTTTATAAAGTTGACCAAATGGAAGTTTTGGACTTCTTTTTCTATCTTTTTGGTGATAATCATATGGCCATGTCTAGCCACAGGGGGCCTGGAAGATTTTGTATATCACTGGGCATTCATATACAAAGGAAAATGAGTGAACAGATATGAGAGGCAACCTGGAACTTTCCATAACTTCCCAATATTTTACGCTAGATTTCTCTTCAATTAGCAGAAACTTGACTTTTCTGTATTATAAACATAAGGAGAAATGAGGAGTCTTTACATACAACTATCCTGCTATTAACCTGAACAAATGTTAAACTCCAGTTTGCCATACTTGATCTTATCTCTAAGGTCGAAGTTTATGGACTGTTTAAAAAAACACTTTTGTGAATGGTAAATAAATACAGATATAATTAAACATGTATTCTGTCTCTTGAATGTTTAAGAATCAGGAAAGCATAAATATTTTTATTAAGGATGTGGAGGCTATTTTTCACTTTTGGTGAGTTTTTCTAAATTTTTATTTTTGTTTAAATGAAAGTCTGGGTAATTCTAGTTTACAACTACATGACAAATCTTCCATCAGAAAACCAGTGAAAACACGGTAAGAGGCCCTGAACCTTGAGAGAGCCCCCAGGACTCCATAAACACGTGCAGAAGCATCTGGCTATCCTAACTGCCACCAACCAAATGCTAACTTTGCTACAATTGGAAACCAATTCGAAAATTCACATACAAATATGAAAGCCAAATATTCTGCTGAAACAAATGTTTTCAACTGAAACAAATGCTTGGGTTGTTTGCATGTGCCCAAACCAAATATTTTCTTGTAACAATAAATCTGTTTCCAAGTTATCTTACTCTGCATCATTTATTAACTAAGCAAGGCTTTATATTAAACAAAACTTGATACTATCCTATACTTTATTCTGCTTTATTTTGAAGAAAACATGAAATACCTACTGACCATGAAATGGTAGACTTTGTTCTGAAGGGTCAATATCTGAGGAAAAGAGCCTTCACATACAGTAATGCCCCCTGTGGGAATGCTTAGAATAACCTCTAATTGTCTGCTTCGTTCTTAATACTTATTCAGTTTTCACCTCAATCATAACTTCTTCAGGGAATTCTTCTCTGTTTAAGTTAAATACCACAAACATTATATATTCATTATTGTAAGTCTTATTTAATATGTATATCTTCCACTGTGCTGTAAGCAAAATAAGAGTAGTGACTGTGTGTGACATATAAAAGGCAAGCAACAGTTATTGGGTAAATAAATGGAGATAATACTATGTGACTCCCAGGGTTGATTTGAGAATGCAGTGGGTTATTGCATGTAAAAATGCTTAGTGCCTGGCACATGGAAAGCAATTAATTTTTTCTGCCAATGAAATGTAAGCTCAATTGAGTCAACATTTTTTTTCCAACTAATATATTCATGAAACATAGAAGAATTTCTGATATATAAAACATTCTCAATACATAATGAATAAATGAAAATGAATGGAACCCCAAATGCAAGCTTATTTATAAAAAGACAGCTCAACTTTATTATTGGGCCTGAAGGAATGAGTAAATAAATTTTATATATATATATATATATATATATATATATATACCCTTTATATATATATATATCCTTTATATATATATACCCTTTATATATATATATCCTTTATATATATATATATACCCTTTATATATATATATATATACCCTTTATATATATATACAGTGCGTGTGTGTGTCTGTGTGTGTGTGTATATATATATACATATATATGTATATATGTATATATATGTATAGATATATATGTGTATATATATACACACACACACATATATGTCTTTTAATTGTCTGACTGGTATAATGACTCCAGAGAGAGTGTGAAAGCAAAGCTGGGTACAGCTTGAGACTGGGCAAAAAATATTTCCGATTGGAAGCACTCTGAGTATTTCTAAAGCTTTTAGAGCCATGTGATAAGAGTCAGTCTTGAATCTATTCTACTATTTCCATACAGTTTAATTAAAATTGACTTATTTTGTATAATAATATCTGGAATACAGATTTTAAAATTATGGGCAAAGATTAAAATAATGTGACCAGAATCAATTATGAAAATCTCCAAGGCTGAAAAAGATTACTAGAACATACCAATTATTAGTTGATATGACTCATTAGTAGACATAAAAATGCTTGAAAACAACTTTTGGTATGAATGAGAACATGATACTTATAAACATATTGAATTATAACAGTGAAAATCACCAGCAGAAAAGACATTAAAAAATGGAAAGAAAAGATAAAGAAAAAAATGCAAAGAAAGCAAAGCAGGAGAGAGAGAGACAGACAGAGAAACAGACACAGAGAGAAAACAATATTATTGAAAACACTGCATAAAAGCTGTTTCTCTAACACATTATGAAAATGCATAGGACATTGTGCAGTAAGACCCAATGATAGCACTGATTCTGAGATCTGGCAAAACTTTGTCATGACCTATTACTGGATGAAATGTCAATGATGATCTATGTTTATATGAAAAGTTCAGTGCTACCTTTCTTTACCACAATAATGGATATTGGGGTCCTTGTCTGACAGCTTATTTCAGAACTGAGCCAGGAGGAGTGTATATACTTCCCTGATCACTGCTGAAGGAAAGCAAAGGCTCATGCTGAAAGCCACCATCTGCATGATACCAAACACCACAAAGTTGGCTATGCCTCCCTGCACAAATATGTTGATGCGTTTGTATGGCTTAAGTCATCGAGTTAGTTTCAAAAATGTTTGTAAAATTTGTTTGACTTTTAAAAATGTGAATTAAGACTCCAGTAAAAATTTGGAGCCAATTTGAGTAGACAGCTCTCAATTCCACTTTTAAAATATCAAGGGATATAGATTTTTAAAAAAATTGTTTTTATCTAAAGATCTTTAAGTATTTTTATTTCTTTATATCTTATTTTCCATAATAAACATGCCTACATGCTTTAAGTGAACATTAGTTTTATTGTAAATATTACTTCTTGCTATCTGTCTTTAAGAATGTTGGAAAACTAAATGTTTATGTAATATGTTTATATAGAGCACTTTTTAACATATTTGTATAAGCAACATATAAATTTTATCTGCATTCTGATTATTTAGTATTAAAAGTGCTGTTACTTTGCCAATATCATCGATGCAGGAGAATTTCTCAAAAACTCAGATTTCAATTTTTCATTGATAAAAGATCAAGTCACACTATTTAAAATATCATTTAATCAATTTTAAAAAGGTACTTGGAAATTCATTCATTCAAAACAGAATGGACAACAGCTGATACACATATATGTTTGATACAGTATAAAAGTAAAATATATAAAGTTATGGAAATAAAAATAAATGCTGGAAAATAATGTGAAATAAAAGATACGATTTCACATTACACAAAATAACTACTAAATTCTTATTTGGTGGCTTAAAGTTGGCCACAACATAGACTCTGTGAGGCCGTAAAGTCAGAAGAAATGAGGAAAAGAGTTAGACTAGGTTATATAGTTATCAGAAGTTGTTTCTAAGTCTACAATATTAATTCATGAGAAATTTATTCAACAGTTAATTATTCTTATCTGCTTTTTTTTAATAAGTGCTAAGAAAAATTTCTTTCATTGGTCCTAATGAGGGTTCGCTGAATGATGTAATAAATGCTGTCTTCAAGAACATCCTGACTATTAATACCATTAAGTATTACAGTGCAGCTTCCTCTTATGTTATCAGGAAAGTTCAATGTGACAGTTTCCATTCACATGTCAGTAAAGAAGCCTACAATGTATCCAAATCGTTGCCCAAGTACAAATGATCCAATCTGACAAATGTTTTGACAGCCTGAGTAAAATGTTTTCAGTAAAAAATAATGTATGACTCTTTGATAAGTCATTTTTTCTGTACTATACAAGACATTTATTAAATATTGAAATATTAAAAAGAATATTTACATTCACATATATTCATTGAACATATAGGTGAATAATACTAAGAATACTCATCACCAACCATCTGCTTTAAATAAAATATTTCTATTACATTGAAACCCTTTGCATAACTTTCTTCCACCTCATCCTGTTTTCCTTAGGGAGGCAACTTCTTTCTTGAATTTCCTTTTGTATTCTTGATTATATCTATTATTATACTAAAATTATTTTTACCCTTAATAAAACATTTTTAAATATTTTTAACTTTAATAATAAATTAAAGCAATCTTATGTTTCTCTGCAACATGCTTTTTGTGTCTTTGATGTTATTCCTGAGATTCAATCATGTTATTGTTTATAATTCTCATTTGTTCACTTTTACTTAAGTACAGAATTCCTTTATATATCATAATTTACTTATGTATGCTACCATTGAAGAACAACTGATTTCTTTTTTGGGGGGCTAAGACAAATAATACTGCCAAGGTCATACTGATACATGTCTCCAGGTGTACACCTTCCCCTAGGGTGAATATGAAAAATCAGATTTTTATGGGACATCGATTTGCTCAAAATTTGCTGATTTTACTAATTTAAACTCTTCAACAATATAACAATGTTCCAGTTTCTCCACAACTTCATCTTTACTTCCTATTGTCAATTTTTTTTTAATTTTCTGCAAAATTGTTGGTGAGAAGTTGTATCTTATTGGTCTTACATTTCATTCCCCTGCTTATTAAAAGTTTTAGAATATCAATGTGTTGTTGGATCACGTTTCATATATCTATTCAGGACTTTTGCCCCTTTCTCTTTGAATAATCATTTTTCTTTTATTCATCATTTTTTTGGTCAGCTACATATGTTGCAATTTATTTTCTGCTCTAACTTGTTTTATTTTGTACATGCTATTTTGAACAACTATAACTTTAAACATTAGTGATATCAAATTGATCTTTATTTTACTTTTGCTCATTGATTCTTAAAAAAATTAATGTCAACTGAGGTCATAAAGATATTCATCTGTATTGACTTCTAAAGGTTTTATTGTTTTTCCTTTAAAACTAAGGTTTTTAATCCACCTGGAATAATTTTTGTGCATAATACAAGATAGGGTTCCAACTTCACTTATAATCCATGTAGATAATAAATTATATCAGCATCATCCATTTAAAACTTCATCAATTTACATAGAACCACAAAGCCCAATTTGTGATATATCAAAAATCTGCATAATGTGGATTGTTTCTGGACTTTTTTTTCTACTACTTGATGTTTTCTTAGTTCCTAGACTAATACTATTGTCTTATTTATCAAAAGACTATAATAATTTATAATATTTGATGATGCAATTCCCTTTTCCTGTTCTTCACAGGAATGTCTTAGAAAATTCTGGCACTTTCTCTTTACTATAAATTTTAGAATCTTCTTGATATGATACACAAAATAAACTGTAGGGATTTTGATGTTAAGTGTATTAAATCTATAAATTAGTTTGGGGAGCATTGACATTTACAGGTTATAGACTCTTCCTATATAAGAACCTGACATATGTGTCCATTTATTTAGGTCTTACTTAATGCTTCCAACAAAACATTTTTACTTTCTTCAGAAAAAGCATGCTAGTAATATTCAAGTTACTTTGTTTCTGAGGTAGCTACAAGTAACATAAGTTGAAAATTATATTGTCCCAGAGTTATTTTAGTTTTTGCTCCTGTAGATAAATGCAACTGAGATTTATGTTAAGATTTTTAATACAATCAACTCAGTAACATTTTTTATTAGAAATCAGTTTATTTCTATATTTTTGTTTTTTACATATAGATAATTATGTCATCTGTGAATAATTGATGATGGCAGTGGCCCATCTGGAGAAGCCACTGCAGGACGCCAGCTGCAGCGGGGGAGGCATGGCCAGGGCTGTGTCTTCCATGGAGCCAGCGGGAGCCAGAAACAGGTGGGAGCCCTGCCCCCTACCAAGTTGGCCGAATGGAAGCCCAAGGCTCCTGGGCAAAGCTGCAGCTACCCAGCTGTGGCTTCAGACCCGGGCATCCCTGTGCTCCCGGGGTCCCGAGAAGCCCTTGGCCCCTAGAGTCTCAAAAGTACCTGCTCTTACTCCCTGGCCTCTCCCCACTCCGAGTGCTCACCCCAGTGCAGAGCGAAGTGGTGGCGGCGGAGCCCAGGTGCTGCTGTGTGACCTGGCCAGGTGTGTGTGTGCACTCCGGGGCAGGCTGCCATGCAAACCCCCTGTCACCTTGACCCTCTCTGGACTTTGAGCTCTGACGAGTGCGGGGGGAGGGGAGGAGGGTTGAGGGCAGCTCCGCAAGAGCCAGCAGGCACCCCTTGGCATGAACAGCCTGAGCACCATGGACAGTATGTTGATGACAGGAGGCAGACAGGTTCCTAGGCAGAAAGGAATGGTACCCAGTAAAATCCCCACCTTCAAGCCAGCAACAGTCTGAAGCCTGGGGTTGAACTGCCAGTTCTGGGTGGAGTCCACCGCCTGGAGTGAGAAGTTATGGTGCTTCTTCCAGCTACCCATGGCCACCTATGGACCAATCATCACGTACTTCCTCCCTTCTGAGTCCATAAAAATCCCAGGACTCAGCCAGACTCAGACACACGTCCGGAATACATGGATGCAGAAAGGAACTACCCACTTTGGGTCTCCTGAGAGCTGTTATGTAGCTCAATGAAGCTCCTCTCTCCCTTGCTCATTCTGCATACCTCATTCCCCCCTGATGCGGGACAAGAACTCGGGACCCACCGAATGGTGGGACTGAAAGAGCTGTAACACAGGCCAGGCGCGGTGGCTCATGCCTGTAATCCAAGCACTTTGGGAGGCCGAGGTGGGTGGATCACGAGGTCAGGAGATCGAGACCATTCTGGCTAACAAGGTGAAACCCCATCTGTACTAAAAATACCAAAAAAAAAAAAAAAGGCCGAGCGTGGTGGCAGGTTCCTGTAAGCCCAGCTACTCGGGAGGCTGAGGCGGGAGAATCGCTTGAACCCGGGAGGCAGAGGTTGCAGTGAGCCGAGATAGCGCCACTGCACTCCAGCCTGGGCGACAGAGACAGACTCTGTCTCCAAAAACAAAAACAAAACAAAAAAAAAAAAGAGCTGTAACACAAATAGGTCTGAAACACTACACCCTGCCCCCAACCATTTGCCACCTTACGGTGACGAGAAGGAGAGAATAGCTACGGCCCTCCTGGGAGCCCAGACCTTGGGGCTTCCTGAGCCAGGGCTGTGACACGCTGTAACACCCGCTTAGGTGCTCTGCAGTTCCTGGCATCTCTGACCTTTCAGGTGCCATCACGTTCCCCTTGTCCAGATGAGGGTGCCTGCAGCGGAAGCAGCTTGTTGTACCTCTGGTCCAGCCACAGCTTCACACAGAGCCAGCGCCTGTGCTGGCGCCTGGAGCTGCCGGGCCCACCACAGCCCAACACAGCTCGCCACACCAGAGCCGGTGCGGCGTGCCTGGCTGGGCACAGTGGCAGGGCAGGACCCCACGCTCGTTCACTTGCTCATACACCCGTTGCCGCTCTGGGTCTGGCTTGCCCTTGGCGGGCGTGGGATCCGGGCCCTTCACGCAAACTGAGCTCAGCCTACTGGGCCAAAGGGGCTGAAGGAGCCCAGGGGGTGCAAACAAAACCCGATCAGAGGCAATGCCAGCCACAGAGGTTTCCGGCTAGGGAAGTGACACGCTAAGGATCCTGTAGCTTCGTATCTTCAAACCTTTGGTATATAAAGCAACTGGCGAAACAAATCTGAAGACTTGTGTCTCACTCAGAGCTTTTGAACTTGCTACTACGCCAAACCAATGTTCTTTAAAAAATAATAATGTAAAATACTCAAGGCCTGGCATGGTAGGTTACACCTGTAATCCCAGCACTTTGGAAGACCAAGGCGGGCAGATCGCTTGAGGCCACGAGTTAGAGACCAGCTGTGCCAACCAAAAAAATTAGCCAGGAGTGGTGGTGTGAGCCTGTAATCCCAGCTACTCCGGAGGCTGAGGCATGAAAATCTTTTGAACCCGGAGGCAGAGGCTGCAGCGAGCCAAGATCATGTCACTGCACTCCAGCCTGGGTGACAGAATGAGACTCTGTACAATATATATATATATATGTTTGTATACCTATATGCAAAACATATATATATATATGTATACACACATACACACACACACCCAGACTTGTTCTAATAGTCTATATCCACAACCAGATTTTTAAAAATCACAAAACTAACATTCTGGAAAATCATATTGTGTCACCAATGGTGAGACCCCTAAAGCTAAATGTAAATTAACTATATTTACCATGATTTGTTTTACAATGTAATGATTCAATTGGAATACTTGTATGTTCACTATCTTATGTCATATTTTATTATTTTCTTTGGCTGCTTCAAAAACTGCTAATTTTAATACAAGTTCCAAGTTTAGGAAAAAAACATACTTTCACAATGCTTTATATTTTTCAGAGAATATTTGCATTCATTACATCAACTGCAATTCATAGGGATTCTGTGAGCTGAGATGTCATTACATTACTTCTCAGGTGAATAATTTAGTGGACTTATTAAAAATTAGAAAAAATTAGAAACCAGGCATGGTGGCTCATGCCTGTAATCCCAGCACTTTGGGAGGCTGAGGCGGGTGGTTCACCTGAGGTCAGGAGTTCGAGACTAGCCTGGCCAACATGATGAAACCCCATCTATACTAAAAATACAAAAATTAGCTGGGTGTGATGGCATGCCCCTGTAATCCCAGCTACTGGGGAGGCTGAGGCAGGAGAATGGCTTGAACCAGGGAGGCGGAGGTGGCAGTGAGCGGAGATCGTGCCATTGCATTCCAGCCTGGACAACAAAAGCAGAACTCCCTCTCAAAAACAAAAAAAGAAAGAAGAAAGAAAGAAAGAGAGAGAGAGAAAGAAAGAAAGAGAGAGAGAAAGGAAGGAAGGAAGAAAGGATGTTAGAAGCCTATATCATATTTATTCCATGATTTATTTCATGTTAGACACTTGCAATATCACAGCATGATTAAATTATGACTCCAAAAATAAAAAAATAAAAATGTTATTAAGAAAACACCAACAGCAGGAGAAACATTGTTTGTTACTCATTATTTCCTATCTCACATTCTTTATGAATAATTTCAAAAATGTTAAATGTTAAATGTTATAAAATAAATTGGGTTTATTAAATGATTTGTTAAATAAAACAAATTTCTCCACTAAATATATATAAGGGCCATATAAAAGTTTATTATACACATATGTATATATATATATATATAAATAAACACACACATATATATAGAGAGAGAGGTTATACTGATTGAGACTAAATAGATAAGCTATTGATAAGCTGATTGATAAGCTAGAAAGACATAGTTTTGTTAATCTGATAGCTAGTTTTTGTTGGTCTAATTCCTCATAGATATATAAATGTAACTATTTTAACAGTGTATAATAGGGGACAAGCTCAAGTTATGTATCAAGTTTTGATTTATTCATATTTTCCTATCTAATCCTTGTGAAAAATAGTGATATTGATGTCACAGGCCATAGTTACAAAACATGCAACTAAATGAATCACAGATAAATTCATCTCATTACCTTAGCTTACTAAAAATATTTATTTTTATGTTCTTACTAAACTAACTCCTATGGTTCACTTTTTGCCTTTTATAGGATTATCCATCCACTGCATATAATATTTTCCCTTGCAATAGCCTTTGTGTGTGCTGTTGAAAATCAATAACCTTGAATGCTGTGTGTGGTGGCAAGTCTACCAACTCTGTCAGACAAGGAGAGAGAGGACAATTAAGATATTGCATTTAGGCATGTGTATTAACTCACCATCTCACATGGAAAAGGTAATGCGTGTAACCCTCACAATAGTGGAGTATAGGGAGCTTTTAAATAGGGAGTTTAATCTCCTTTAGAGCAAAGCCACACTCTCTGTTGCCCTAGGTTTTTGGCAAGATTCCCAGAAGCTGCAGTCATTCATGAGCCACACACTCTGTTCTTTGGAAAATTGCAATGAGATCCTCACACAGTGCAACCAATGCTCTCGTTTTGGACGCCTCATCTGTAAAACATCCCCTCACACATGTGTATACACGTGCGTGGTACTTAACTCAGCCACCACCGAAGAATGGAGCACTGCAGGGATTTGAACCTGTAGTTGCAGGAAGTCCAAGTATTTCAAACCTTATGTGTCGACTATAAAACCATTCCCTCTGGCTGATTATTCTGGAATTAAAATGTAGTTCATGTTAAGCAAGCTTGGAAAATTCCCAAATCAAATAAGCTTGTTTAGAAGGGTTGTTCTCTCTTTAGAAATGCTGAAGCCACAGCTTTATTCCACCTTGGTTCCCTTTGACTTTTGTAATGTACTCTTACGTTCTCATTCACACTAAACTCTGTGAAATTTGAATAAGATTTCTCTACAAATGAGATATGCTGAGTGTAACTATAAAATGTAATACAGTACACAATATGTGTTTACTTATTTAAATTCTGGAGCTATGAAAAATTAGTAGTATATTTTATTTTGAAGGCAAGGGGAAATCTCTTTCACTACTATTGTTTGTTTAACAGAATAGAGTGTGAGATTGTATCTTGACTGGGTAAACTAAAATGGCTAATTAGATCAATATGTATAAATCTTAAATGTTTCCTATGCAATATTTTATAGGTATGTATATTTGATGTTCATACTAATTGAGGTTGTCAATTTCAATAAATACACTTGTCTTATATTTCATTTACTTTATTTTGAAATATCGAATTTTGTTAAAGTTCTTGTTTAAAAATGAAGAGATTGAAAATCTAGTAGGTCAGCTTTTGGATATATGCACTTTCTGAAGTTTACACACATCTAAGATACATATGTTATATTTAAACATATAACTTAAATTACACACACACATATCATTAAACAGAAAAGGCAAAACAGCATATAATATCTGTTACCACTGCCAATAGCAAAAGCATAAGACAATGTCTATTCTATCTCTTCATAACATAAAATTTTGCTCTAATTTAACTGGAAATAAACAGTTTCACATTAAGCTTTGGCAAATAATATTTATAGCAATTAAGCTATTTCAGTTACTGAAGTTGTATAATCCTTAGCATTAACTGGCAATCAAGAAAGGAACCTCCAGAGCTTCAGGTTTGCAGACAGTGCAGTTAGATACCTTAAGACATGCTTTCTTTGCATGTACACTAGTTGTTTTGTTCACCTCATACACATACCTATAGCTTTTTTGTTGTTGTTACAGAGACATTTTCTTTGATATTATCATGTTATATTTCCTCAGAGCATTTTCTACCCCAGGGCTGAATGTGCTTTTGCAAAACTGATTTCATTAATTCTTCTAATACTTCTGTGATTTTAAAAAAGAAACGAGAGTGGCAGAGAGAGGGCAGGTGGTGTTTTTTTTTATTTTTATAGAGAAACTGAGACACTCAGAAGTTTATGTAGTTTCCTAGGCAATAATACATTTAAGTCAAGAAAACAAAATATAAGTAAAATATAAGCAAAAAATTAGCAAGCCCTCATAGCTCGTTTTTATTTTTTATTTTACCTTTATTTTCTTTGCACAGAAACATATAACCTGGCTTTATTTGTATTTTATATAGTTAAATTGAAGATGGCTTGCTCTCTCCAGGATTAGCACATTGTTTAGAAACTGGACACTTCCAAACAACAAAAACCAGAGTCAAAACCCATGTGGCCTTACTCAATTGTCCCCAGCAATTTCAATTTGGTATCTTCTGCAGATTTCATGATTGGCTATGAGGCAATGCATTAGAACACATGTAGAGAGACAATGGGGAGTTCCTTTTAAGACAACTCAACTTTGACATAAATGCAAAAAATGAAATACTTCATAGAAATTAAAATATATATCCTATAAATAGTTATACCAATATATGTATGTGTATATATTTGCTTCATTGATATTTACAACTAAGAAGGAAGAATAAAAATTAGTTAACCGGAAAATACAGGATGCAGAGTATGTGCCAAAACATGCTTCCATAGACAGATGAAAATTTGAGCATCATTTAAGATCCTACACATAATATAAGACACAATAACCTGGAAAAATCTGTTTGCATTTTAGTGAAAAATAAGGCTAAGAAGAAACAATCATCATTTGATAACAATCTTTTACTTTCTACTTATTCTATTAAAGTATATAAATTATAATTGAAATATTTTCTGTAGCCAATATGTCATCAGGGTCATAAAAACAAGAAAATTAAATTAGATCTGTTTTTGAATTGATATTTTCTTTTTAACTTGTCTCGTTGTTACATTTTTTTCTGAAATGAATTTATCAATCTTTTGAAGCTCTCAAGCCATATAAAATGAGGTGTTATTAATGGGATGTATTTGGTTGCCTAAACTGATTTAATATGCATTTTTATATCTTGTGTATGAATGAAAATATTTACTTTAAAATATATTGAAGAGTCATAGTATTATTTTTACTGTTAAAAATGATGCTACGTAATTCAGCTTCCTTAAGGGGAATACTGAAGACATTTAAACCTGTTTAGAACTTTCTTCTGAAATTGCACATTTTATTTATATTACAAAGAACATTTTTTCTTGTTCATCACTTGGAAGACATATTATTGCAAGTTAATAGGATAGTAGACATAGTTAATAGTTACTGTATTATTTAAAATTTCACAATTTCCATAAAAACCACTTTTTATATTTTTTCCTTTGGCATTTTTACTCAGATTAAAATGTATATTTAATTTGAGAAAAAACACTAACATTGGAATAAAATTCAACATTTGTGCAAATCAAGTAATTTTGCAAATTTAGTGTAAACTTGACAAAAGGATAACTGTGAGATGAGACTGAAAGAGGAAAATTGTGGTTAAAGGATCAACTGGAAGAAACCTGCTGTAAGAGATTATATTTATGAACAATTTCTTAAAGACAACATTATTAGAAACTAAGTTTGTAATAAATTCTGTATGAAACAAATGTAAATAAAGTAAAACATATTATTATAAAAGTAAGCCCTCGATGAAAATTGGTTGTTAAAGAGCCTATTGGCATTATAGAGAAAATAAGCCTGAAAGAACAGCTCCAGTTGTCATATCTGTTCAGATATTTTGCAAAGTTTTGACATTGAAAAATTCACATTTAAAAAATAGAGGTGAACCCGAGCACACAGAAAATAATTTCATAGAGATTTCAATTTGTTACACAGTATGACCGTGCATTTGAAAGACTGTGTTTTTTTTATTTTTGACGTATGTAAGAGAAACAGATATCTAATATTTTTTATGTCAACTAGCGTTGTACAAAGAAGATAATCAGTTTCATGTTCCTCTCACATGTGTGGCAGGCCTCACTGAAGACAACTGGAGCTAGAATCAGAGAGATTTCCAGCAATTCTTGAAACAAAGCAAAGTAAGAAAGCTCAAAGCTTTTGCAGAAATTGTGACATTTGACTCAAGTTAATGACCCCACTCCCTATGTAGCTATAAATGATAACAACAATAACAAAAAGAGCGTAGCTGTTACAGTGACATGCTTTTTCTTGAGAAAAATATTGCAATTTAAAATAAACTTTTATTTCAGAGTTCATCCACCACCCTACCCCCAGCCTTCACACACACACACACACACACACACACACACACACACACACGCACACACAAATGTAAGCTTCAGAGATATTCACTCAAACTGAAAGAGCCATCCATGAATTTTGGTCGTCTTTGTGTTATATCCTAAGATAGTTTTTACCTTTCTTCCTGTGTGATATAGATGCAGGTTAACAACAAAAACAATGAAAAAATTTAAAAATCAACAGCTTGAAGAGTGCTAATTAGAACCAATTATAATTTCATTGTCCTGCCATGGTTCACTATGTCCTGGTTAAAAAAATAGTAATAATTTTGATTTCTGTACATGTCTGGCTTTATGCACATGGCTGATTGGAGAAGTTTAATATTCAACACATGTGCGTAAAGTAATCCTTTAGACTAGCAGTCTAAAGGTAGCAATAACCTATACAATTCCTTGTGTTAATTTCTAATTAATGTGATTAAATAAATACCATCAGACTTCAAAAGGACCACTTACTTTATGGAACCAGTGTTTATTTAACTGGTATGTGAAATTGGTTTTCATGTCAATAAAGATATTAAAGTTTCTATATTGTGTATTCATCATGAAATCATAGAAATGACTATACTAACAACAAAGAAGAAAGTTCCCTCAAATCAATTTGGTTCTTGAGGAAAGCAATTCAATCTTAATGTAACCTACACTAGTTAACAAAAGATATTTCATGAGCTTTGGTTAGAAATGTAATACAGTAACCTAGAATTACCTTACATCTAAGTTTAGCAACTACCATTTTCAAACTGTCTGTACCTAGCTTAAAAAGTTGTCTACTCCCATCTAGCGGTCATAATGTTAAATTTCCTTTCAAAACTTAGCAGCCTGAATGGTCTGCATTAAGGCAAATGGAACTGCTGTTTTATTGTCAGAATTAAATAATTAATGCAGTTAACAACATCTGCATAGATTAAGTAATTCAGCCTCATGGGTTTTGTTGATAGCAGTAATTTTAAAGGCAGCATAAAATGGTTTTAGTCTGATTTATGGAGCGTAGCTCATGCTGCCAGAGCCGCATGGAGTTCATTGACTGAAAAACTCCGAGGATCACTCAGGAGGATTGCCGTAGTTCTATAGTCAACAATCTCTTATGAATATTTTATAAAAATGTCTATGTATAAAGAAAAGGAAAGTTCAAGCAATGAGGTCCTCTGTGTACAACTGAACTCCAGAATATAAAAATAGATGATTGATCTCTTCAAACCCTTGTTAAAGAAAAATTAAGACTGTCAGTTTTTAAAATAAAATATGCTTTAACATTTTTATCATGTAATCTTTATTTTTAGTACCAAAATGCAGACTAGAAGAGCATTTGTTGTGTTAATGATACCTGATTTTCAAAAACAAACAAAAAAACCTGAAAAGAAAACAAATTCCATTTCATATTTCAGCAAAAGGAAGTGGTTTTGTTTTGTTTTGATTTTAAATCGTCCTAATATAGCAGCACGTGACTTGGTGTGGGTATAATGTCATACATTTACATATGTTGGATTAATTGGAACCTTGTACAATGGTGAAATGCAGCTCCATGTCAACAAATATAATTAAATCCTCGTAGTATCTATGCAGTTGGAAATAACTACTCGCTCTTTTCCAGTGAGTAGAAATGTGAGCTAATTATCCAGCAGAGCATATCTACTTATTTTACTCACTAAAATACATTGAGCATCTCCATACAAATACCATACTGGTGTTCAGCAAAAATCTAGGGTTTATGTCGCTATTGAACAGACAAGAGAAGCATACATCATAACTCCAAACAAAGGAATGGTCTAGTCATAACATAGTGTCGGGGTTCTAATGGAAGTAGGAAACCACAGTGGTTGGGAAAGCTCCTGGGGGTGATAGGGTTTGATCTAAAGATTGAATAATGAGTGTGATTTGTGTTAGAAGCAAGAAGATAATGGCTTCAACAGAAACAAAGATGCTAAGTTAAGAGCAAATTAGATATGTTTGAGGGAAAGCTAGCAGATTATTCTCTCAAGAATAGAGAAGACTCATGCCAGGAAACAGTGGGAGATAGTTAGAAAAGTAGTTTGGACCAGACTAGAAAGCATCCTGAATGCCTCGACATGCAGGAAAGCTGAGTAAGCTGAGGTTGGACAGATGAGTTTTCACTGCAGGTATAAAATAAATATGGGAAAATGTAACACGCGAATTCCTGCAAGATGACTACAAAGAAAAAAATTATTAGAAGCTTGTTCACTTACATAAAAACCATGAGAGTTGTGCAGTGGTTAGTTGATCAGGATAAATTGAAAAGTTGTACTATGGAACATACTTACTGATTCATGCGTATAAGCATCAACACTTTTAGCATCTACTATGTGCTAGGGACAGGTATGAGTATTTAGGGTTTACATTTAAATGCTATTTAAAATGTTAGAAACATAATATGTATTAGTGGCAGCATAAAGAATATATATTTTTCATCACTGTAAAACACAATGTAGAATCAATACTCAACTATACTTAAAGTTAATGTAGATAACGGGTTGATGGGTGCAGCAAAGCACCGTGGCACGTGTATACCTATGTAACAAACCTGCACGTTCTGCACACGTATCCCAGAACTTAAAGTATAATAATAAAACAACTTGGATTAAAAATTGAAAAAAAAGAGGTTTAGGGTTAATTACAAAGCCTAATTCAGATATTTTATGTATAATTTATTTTAAAAAAATTTTTTAATCTATTTTGAGTTTTTACTTGTTCAATAGAACTGCCATTAAAAAGCTAGAACAATTGTGATGAACTGAAATGGTATGAAAAACAATGAGTGTAAGTCATTTTAAATTAAACTAAATTATCTTAAAACTTTGGCAACTAATATCAACCAGTGACTTCTAGTAAGACAGGGAACAATAAATAATAAATCACTTTTTTTTAAAAAGTGCATATCAATTTATTACTCTGTTTCAGACTGTCCCTCCACTGACGTACATGTGAAAGAATAAGTGTGATTTGTGTGTGAGATACATATACATGTGCATATATTTATATATCTCACTTGCAAATAGATAAATGATAGGTGTAAAAGATAAAAATCACTAAACTATAAGTAAACATATCAAATATAAGTATAATATAATTTTTAACTTATATTCTTTAGAAACCAGAACTGAGTATTTCAATTCCCAGTGTCTAAAATATGACAGTATGGAATTTTATCCTTTGAGTAGATTTTAAAATTGATTCATATTTGTAGTGAAAAATATTTCTTTGTAATTATTTAGGCAAATACAAATTTAAAAAAATAAACTTCCCTGTTATATTTAATGATACTATTTCAGATAAAGTTAAAATGGCAAATATTCCAATCGTACATGTGTGTGTTAATCATTGCATTTCACAAGTCTAGTTTTACATTCTAAAATAATTCACATTCTAGAAAGATATTAGAATTTTTAAAAATTTAGCACTTGAAACAAACGCCTTTCACAAACACATTTTGTAAAATAAAATATTAAATGAATTTAACCAGGGTAATATTTTAAATTTTTTTGGCTGAAGGATTTTAGTAAGCTCCCATGAGGCATGTTTTCTTTTGCTGATGGGCTGAAAGATAGGATGATTCAATGACTTTGATGTGCTTTTATCAAGGTACATCAAGACTAAAATCAACACCATCAAACAAAACTATTTTTTTATTTTGTTTTCTTAGGATAAAAGAAAGCATATGCCTTTGGATTAAGAAAAAAACAAAGCAAAACCAAAACAATAAAGTTTGCCTGCGATAGGCAGGTGAGTCAGAGGAGTGAAGTTCTGCTTAGTGAATCATTCCAAGAGGTATTTTGTTTAGCTGTTTCAAGACTCATGCCTCCACCCTCCCCCAACCATTTTTTTTTTTTAATATTGTAGTAAAGAACAAAGGCGATCAACAGGAAAAGCAATATAGTAATTAAGTAGTAATTGGTAGAAGAGGCTTTGGGGTTAAAATTAATAAAACCAGCATGATGTACATTAAGACTGTATAAATATTTAAGGAACTACAGCCTGCTTGGAGATTTAAACCGATTAGCAAAACATTTGAATCTGGAGATTCAAATGTTTCAGGTAGATAAAATAAACAGAGACTGCTTGTTGGAAATATGATCAGTTTTCGTCCTGGGAGTGCTGTATTTTTTTTATTTTAATCATCAAAATAAAACACTTTTGATGTTTTGTGTAAAAGGTTTTATATTGCATCTAACGCAATGCAGGAAATGGAATCACAAATGAAATCATTGCAGATGTTTTTCTTTTCTTGTCAGATCATGTATTATAGATGGAATTCTGGCCTTTCACATTGAAATTAAAGGGAAAGTATAACACAAGAAACTGAAAACTCATCCTTCAGGATTTTCTTTGCTGGTAATATTGATACATAAAAATTTATCTACGGGCAGGAAATCATTTAAAGGTAAAATAGTTATTCTTCATTTCCAGCAATCCAAATGATATAGTCAATGTAATTGAAAATAATTAATAGAGGCATTATAACTTCTCTTTAATCCATTTCCTTTCTCTTACAAAATCTACTACAGGAATTTGATATAAATTTCAGGATTTAATATTTAACATCTAGATGAAATTTTTAAAAACAGAACTATTAATTGAATGTTGGCAAATATATGCATGCTTATATTTAATTAGACAAAATGTCTAATAATTTAAAGGTATTTTATAATTTTTACCTGAACCCTTTTGTAGCACACAGCATTAAACTTGACAATGTTTAGAATTAATACTAGGTTCTGAGTTATATTCACACAAGATCAAAATACCCACATGAATAGGGACACTTTCGTAATCATTTGGGCAAAACTAAATGTTCAATATAAACACATTCTGTTGATTCAACAAATTAATCATTAACTCACAAAATTAGTTAGCATCAGGTGTACTGTGAATTATGAGATACCTACCTTACATCAGAATTCCTCAGCAAAGATCTATATATTTAGTATCTTTATACTCAGTTCCCGTGAAAACATTAATTTTTGCTAGTAGAATGCATCTGTAGAGAATACACACCCATACCAAGGCCAGTACATTTAGGTTCCTATTTGCAATTTTAAATTTGTATTTGTAGAAATGCCAAATAAATGTTTTGAACAAGAAAAGAGTGATAGAATAGCCAATAATTGTCAGTGAATACATCAAAGCTTTTCTTTCTATTGACAGAGCACTGGGGAGAAATGCTTATAAAAGGGGGTTGTAGTCAGAAGACTTTCTCTCTAATAGATATTAGGCACTATGTGGGTCAGGAAACAAGCTAAGACAACGATCCATCAAGAATACCTTGTCCTAAATATGTCAAATATTTAAGTTTTCTTTTTCTTGTTTATGTTTTCTACATCTTCTCCCTGGCCTATTTTTCTTACTTAAAAATACAACAAAACAAACTATCATTCCATAGCATTGATTTTTAGCTCTTGGCCATACCCAATCTTAGACTATTTTCTCAATATTATCTTTTTTGGAATACTACATTCAAAATTCTTGTTGTTAATACAAATAGGGAATTTTGATGTTCTTTTTAAAACAAGCCATTTTGTTTATTTTAAAGGAGAAATGTATACAGTTATTAAAGCATTTTAGCTTTTCTAAATTCTGCTTCAAAGTATTGTATCATGTATATCATGACAAACATGTAGATGGAAGAATATAGTACTTTTGTTTACATGCTGGTTGAAAGAGGCATCAAGTTAAGAGTAATCATTTGCATTTTCCTTTTACACTTTTGCTTGTAAGTGTAGCAATATATCTTTGCTGATTATAAAGGCATTTGCTGACCTACCCACCACTTTGCCTAGCACAAAAAAATTCAATATTCATTAATCATACAAACATGAGCTTATATTAAATGTGCAATAGATGTTAAGATAATCTATGTTAATTCACTCTCCATTTAGGAAAACAAAATTTTACCTATCAATATCTAGTAAATAATAGGGTAATAATTAATTCTATATTTTACACAAAAGGCAAATTCAGTAACTCTTGATCATTCCTAGCATCACAAAATAAAATGTGTCCCATCAAGTAGTGTGTAGTAGATGACGGATTTTTCGTTAGTTATAGTAACGTATAAAACCCTTCTGTATGTTGCAGTTCTCTCCCATGTAACTCATTAAAAGCAGTGTCAGTTAAAGGCTCTTGCACATCTGACAGCAGTAGGAAATACCTCCGTAACTTCCCCACTGACACTTACCTGTTCTCTCTGTTGATTTATACCAACTGAATTTTCTCATGCCAGATACTTAAAAATTCCAAAACATATAAATGATGGAATCATAAGGTTTGATAGATAGGGCTAACACATCATTTGGACCAGCCTTTTATCTCTGATGCAAAGAAGGTCAGATGATTATCTAGCTAATTTATTTCAAAATTGTATTTATGTGAAGTGCATAATTTATTTCTTATTGTTTAATATTTGAAATAATTATTACCCTTCTGCTGGGAAAAAATATATTAAAATATAATTCAGTTACCATAGGAAAACAACTGGAAGTTGAGTATATTGTCTACCATCATCAGATCTTGCACTGCAGCAAAATTATCCCTGCTGTAATGATAGAAAATTGCATGGATATTTACTGAGCATTCACTATGTGACAATCCCCAAAATAAAAGTTATTCTTCTAAACCAATATGTTCTGAGTTTAGACAGGTAATAAAAATATAAAATTTCATAGATCTATCATTTTAGTTGCTTTGTTTTAATGCCTCAAATTAAGAGTCACAAAAGGCACTTCCATTTTGTGGTTTGCTAAAATTAACATATCATAGAAAATGTTTAAATATGTGTGCTAATAACATAGCACTAATTAGTGTCTCTCTTGTTAAGAATTTCTTATTTAGTTGTTACTGGAATCACAACAACTTCATGGATATTTTAATATTAAAAATGTTATAATTGTCTACCCCTTAAAGTTTTTACTGAGACCATGTAAGCCCTGAAAAATTCCAAGAAAAATAAGCATATATAGAAAATAGTCTTTGCAGCCATCTCCAGGAGTAGAGAACAGAAGAATTGCTAAAGGAGAGTGAGACTTTCCAAGATGAGGACCTCACCTGCGAACAGCTGAGCCAAGATTGCAGATAAAAAAGACCCCACAGATTTTTCTTCAACATAAAATGCATTTAAAGCAGAAAACTGCAATGACCACAAATGGGACAGCCACCAAACAAAAATAGGAGGTGAAACCTGAGATTATAAAGAATATTAACGTAATTTTTAATAGTTAAAAATTAAATTATTTCATTACTTAATATTTTATAACATAGGCCTACTAATACTATGTAAAGTTGATAAATAAGAAAATTTATTTTAAAAAATATAATATAAAGTCAATAAGCTAAACAAAAAACATCTAAAATTAAATCTCCATTTGATTCAAGCATCAGACTACACAATGTGAGCTACAAGATCTGGTATTAGGTAAGAGTGGCCTTTGTTTCTCTTGACAAGAACAAAGTAATAAAACACAATGTTTTAGATATTTTTGACACATTTGAGAGAATTATCTACCAGATAGAATATGAATAGAGATGACTGAAGGGATAAAGGATTACAGAATTCAGGTCAAGTTGGGAATGACTGAGAAAATTCAAGAAACATGGAAATTATTTTGTCAGACATTTCTTCTTTCATTATACATGAGAAAAGTAAAATCTGAAGCCATTTTTAGAAATAAAGTTTCTTTATATTACCTTGTTCAGTTGAAAAAGAAATATGGCAAATGTACACATAGGGGTGTGTGTGTGTGTGTGTGTGTGTGTGTGTGTGTGTATATGTGTTGGTCATGGTGTGAAGATGTGCAGCCGCTCCCAGTCATATGTGGTGTATGGTAATGATGAGGAGGCAGGAGTTGTTCTTCAGCACCCTTGAGGGCATTGGCAAAAGGAAAATAATAAGCCCCTGAGAGTCCATATCCCTTTAGCAGTATATGAATTTAATATAATGGAAAAAGAAGTTAAAGTCAGAGATGGAAACAGGTAACGCTATGCAAAGATGGAACGAAACATAAAAATCTGCTTCTCTAGTAGTAAATTTGATAATATAAACAATCATATTTTGTCTACAAATTATTAAGCATAGAATATATAATGATAATTATAACAGTCACTGGTTCAGCCACCATCTTCCTATGTTATATTTGGTATTATGAATGAATGAAATTGGCAATATGATTTAACAGTTGTGCCTTCAATGTCATGCTATTTAAAAATAGTGGTCAGAAAACATTTCTATCATATTTTTCACTGACATACCAGTAGTGGTATCAGATTATGCAAGCAAGTAGATGTTACATGAAACCAGATATTACCTCTTAATAAGCATGGGCAGGTTTCTGAGTTCTGTGTTTCAGTTTCCTCAGCTGTAAACTTGACAATTCTAACATTATTTCCTCATGTACATCAGTTGAGATAATATACTGAAACTGTCTGGTACCATCAAGGGAATATAGTGAGCGAGTCATAAGTAGCAGTGGAAAAAAAGAAGAAGAATAGAGTAAGAAAAAGAAGATTGGAATGCCAGTGTTAAGAATACACACACACATAACACAATTTTAGGTTTCTATTTATTTTCTGAAGTCATTTTTAGACCAAAGACTCTTTGAACCATTTTATTTTTGTGTAATCAGAACAAACTACTAGTACAAGGCCTGTCTCTCCTCTGAAAGGGACATAATTATAGTACTTAACTCTTAGACTGGTGAAGATTGGCTTACTAAGCATATGGAAAGTGCTTAGAGCAGGTCCTGGAATAAATGTTTCATAAATGTTAGTTATTGCTACCTTTTGTAATATTTTCAACCCCATAAAAACATTCAAGTTAGAGACACAAACTTCTAACCCCTATAAAACAAAAAGTACAGAAAGAAAAATAAATTAATAGATGTGATTTGGAAAGTATTATTCCTATTTAACATTTGCTTTTCTTTCAAATTTTATATTTAGATCTGCTTTTTCTGACCTGTGCCAAATTATTTAAATAAAAATAATAATAACATAAGTAGCACTTATTGAGTTCTTATGTCTAGGCATTTTCCTGAGTACTTTACTTGATTTATAGGATTTAATCCTCCCAGCGTTAGATAGAAGTAGGTATAGTAATTCTTGCACTATTGCAGAAGAGGAAATTGAAGCTCAGAGTTAAGTAATTTGTCCCATGTCATAGGGCCAGTAAGTTAAAAGAGCTGAAATCAAAAGATAGTTACAATTAAACGCTCCTCAGTTAAAGTGTATATTCCCCTATTCAAACAATCCCTAAAGATCTTCAGTTTCCAAGTAATGATGAATAATCTAATACCCAATGGCCAGGTAAGAGAAATTTAGGAGTTGTTGAAATGAGCCTATGAAAGTTTCTGGCCTACTTGTTCTTCTATTCAAAACCCAGCTATATAATTTGTTGTTAGCCAGTAAGAAGCCTTAAGCTATCTAAAAAAAAAGGTTTGTATTTCTACTGAAGAGGTTATACATTTTTTACTACTTCTACTAAACTAATCCAGAAATAAACATACTAAATTTATAGAAAGTTGTCAAAAACCCCTAGAATTCTATAAGCATTGAAGATATATTCCCTAACACTGCAATTACACACTTCAGTTAAATTCTGAATAAGTAGCTTAGTATAATATTAAAATATTACTCCATTTTTATTGGATAATCATTCTAAAATGAAGCTCTATATTTCTAGTTTTAAGCTAGCAGGCAGCTTAACTAGGCCATTCAAAAAAAAAAAAAGCCCATTGTATATGAATAGGGGGCAGTGGCCTGCTTCCCAAAATCCCTGTGACAGAGAAACCAGAAACAATTCTTTTTTTTTTTTCACTTTTTTTTAAATTATACTTTAAGTTTTAGGGTACATGTGCACAACGTGCAAGTTTGTTACATATACATACACGTGCCATGTTGGTGTGCTGCACCCATTAACTCGTCATTTAACATTAGGTATATCTCCTAATACTATCCCTCCCCCCTCCCTTTGTAGGGACATGGATGAAGCTGGAAACCATCATTCTCAGCAAACTATTGCAAGGACAAAAAACCATACACCGCATGTTCTCACTCATAGGTGGGAATTGAGCAATGAGAACACATGGACACAGGAAGGGAAGATCACACACCAGAAACAACTCTTAAAGTTCAGGAAACAAAGTGCTTAATGATCTGACCTTCTCTCTGTTTTTCTTCAGTTTTTTTTTGTTTGTTTGTTTGTTTTTGTTTTTTTTTTTTTTCACTTCCACCTTTGAACCAGTCTCAACATCATGTCAATCCAATCATTTCTCCATATCCATAGATTTGAGAGACTGTAGGAAGTATTTCCAATATTTTTCCCTCTCAATTCCCCACAATTTATACTTTTACATGCTATAACAAAATGCTGCACATATCTCTCCAAGGAAAATACTATTTCTTATGAGAATACTAAGTAATAATGGTAATAAAAGCTAATATTTACTGAGTGCTCACTGGGTGTTAAATACACCCTTGAAAAGGCATCATCCCATTTCTTTTCACTGAGGTTTACTGTGGTATAATTTTTATTCAGTAACACTCATACCTTTTTAGAGGTACAGTGTTTTTTTTGTGTGTGTGTATGTGTGTGTGTGTGTGTGTGTGTGTGTGTGTGTGTGTGTATGTGTTTTCAAATTACTACAATGGACATAGAATACATCCATCACACCCATAAGTTCTCTTGTTCCCCTTTGTGGTCAATTTCTCCCGCCACCCACAACCCCTTTGCAACCCCAAATCTGTTACCTATCTTTATTGGCTAGAAGTTAGTAAGTGGCTCTAAGTGGTGGAACCCATATTGAATTCCACAGCTGTCTGACTCTGCAACTCTTACTCCTAGATATTCTATGCTTCTATCTCTTCAGAAGATAATTTTCCTTATTAATTCATGAATGATCTTAAAGAAGCTCTTTGAATTTGCTTATTTTATTTTTAAATTAATATAATCAAACATAGTAAGTTATAGGGTGAGGTGAATTAAAACATAATACTAAAGTGTGGATATAACCAACTTAGTAATTGGTAAAACTATGGTAAGTAGGGAAAAATATAAAGTTGAACATTGCAGCATGGCAGGATCATTCTCAACATATCAATGTCTGTGTTTTCCTTAATAGTTTCTCTTTCTCCCTGTTCAAAGGGGTATTAAAAGCAGGCCTTTTGAAATTCTATGCCTCAGGATGTTTTGCAGAAAAAATCACAGAGACAGTCAAACTCCTTTAAAAACTGGAGACTCAGAGGAGATGATACTATGTGTATGAGTAGGAGAAAGAGAAGTACTTTGGGGAACAAGGTAAAAAGCAGGCTTTCTAAAATGAGGTAAAAGACAGGAGTTGAGAAGTTCTAGAATAGCTGAGATCTTTGTATCGCTTAGTGGCAGCAACCCACAGAGCTTACAAAGTTTGATGTTTCATCAAGAAAGAGAAAATATTTGTCACTATGGTTTCTCTGATATCTATGAATCAAAAGTGTTGCAGAAGTAGCTATGCTGCCAAATTATAAATGCCCATACAAACGGAGAAGTTCATGTCTTGTTGGTAACCTGTGGGCTGACAAAAGACCTATGGTCTACTGACATTTACCATGTATTATACACGCATTAACACGTCTAAACCTCTCAACCCGATGGTATTAGAATTTATCCCATTTCAAAACTGAGAGAACAAAGACAAAGAAATGCAAGATTTTTTGCTCGAATTCACACAGTATCTAAAGAACAAACACACAATTTGAACCCAAACAAGTTCTATCCGGAAAGCTTATGTTATAGTGCCTAAATCAACCTAAATTTCAGGGACTTTTCTTTAGTCTGAAAGAGGAAAATTAATATAAACACGATTGACATTTTGGAAAATTTCCTCAAATATAGGATTGAATTTTGATTTATTAAAATAGTTAGAAAAATGTGGTATTCCTTATGCCACTGTGTGTGTAGACATAAAGGTATTTCCAATACATTAGCAGTATAAAATTTGATACCCTTGTAAGAACCACTTAAGCATTTCAGAGGAATTTTTCATGTTATTAAAAATGAATAACTTATTACTTGAACATAAATTTTGTTTATCAGTGATCAATATTAATAAGTAATTCTTGTTTCCTTTTTTCCTTCAAAACTTAAGAATGAAGTCTCTTTTTATAATAATGTGACACAATTTAAATTAATTGAATAGATGTTACATCAGCATGGCTGGTATGGGTAATTTATGTATTCTAGCCATACCATTTTCCCTCAGCCTTAAGGTTCTACTGTACTTATTTATTCCCTTCTGATAAAATAACATATTTCTTTTGTAATTACAAAATGGCTTTTATTTTATTCTTATAATAAGGCATTTATTGGTTTATTTGTTCTTCAATGATCTAACAAATCTATGTGGGGAGCCCACAATATGTCTGACATTCCTTAGGTATTGGACATAAAAAGATGAAGATATATTTGTAACTTCCAAAAGTGTCCAGTCTTCTTGGGTGATAGGTAAATAAATAACTAAAATAAAAAGTAATTAAAAATAATAAGATAAAAAGGCTATGTTCATTTGCTCATTCAACAAATATTTATTGATTATATATGTACTATTCCAGGGCCCTGGGGACAAAAAAGATAGATAGATAGATGATAGATGATAAATAATAGATAGATGATAGATAGATAGATAGATAGATAGATAGATAGATAGATAATAGATAGGAATATAAAAACAAATCCTTGCCCTCTTAGATTTTTATTTGAGGTGAGACCATCAAGAAACGAACAATGTTAGGTGATGGAAAGTGTCACAGAGAAAAAACACCTTAAAGGAGTACTGCCTAGTGACAATGTGACTGTGAGGAAAGAGTTAACATAGCAGGTCTGATTGGTCAGTCCTTGAATGGCTCCTAGGGAATCTGCAAACCTGATTGACTCTTGGTCAACCCCTGGGAATGTGACCCTAAATTTTTTTCTGTTACTTATTTATTATGTTGTATAAGCTTAGAGCAATTAGTCATGCTTCAACAGATTATCAGATTTATCCAGATTGTTTTGTACATCCTGATTGTTGATATACCTTCTTTCATTGCTGAGGTCCTGAGTTTCTCTTATCATGCTAGATGGTCAACTTCACGTAAAATCCCTGGGTGCTGAGACTCAAGCATGCTTCCCTGGGTACAGATACTTCACACAAATGCCTGGCTATGTTTGGGGAAGGATCCTAGGATCATGCCAAGTTTTTTGGTTTGGGGTTCTTTTTTTGTTTCTTTTTTTGTTTGTCTTGTTTTGTTTGTTTGGCTGGGCACAGTGTACTTTATTAATGGCAAATGGCAAGGTAGGGCTCCCAAAGCCCCTTCCATTCTTCAGAGGGCCTGGGATGGAAACCATGTCAAGGAAGGGAGATTTTCAATATGTTAGAATGTGAAAACTCTCCAGTAGCTGAGAGTCTCTTATTCTCCTTCTGGTGCTGGTGGTACAGAGACCACCTTGGAGGCCATGTGATCTAAAAAATCTACCACCCCATTGACCCCATTGCTTTAACCAAATTAATTGTCACACTGGGATATAAGCTTGACCAAACAGTCATTGAAGGTAAAACCAGCCCCGGCATCAAATGTGGAAAAGTAGGTGTCACTGTTAAAGTTATAGTAGATGGCCTGGTCCTCAGTGTAGCCAAGAATGCCTTTTAGGGAGCCCTTCAATGGCTGTTTCACCACCTTCTTGATGTCATCACATTTGCCAGCTTTCTCTAGACACCAGGTCAGATCTTCAACCAACACATTGTGCAGACACAAAAGGCCATTCCAGCGAGCTTCCCATTCAGCTCAAGAATGACCTTGCCTGCAGCCTTGGCAGTGCCAGTAGATGCAGGGGATAATTTCTGGGCAGCTCCATGGTTATCTCACCACATTTTGCCAGAGGGGCTATCCAGGACCTTCTGGGTGGCAAAGATGGCACAAAATGTAGTCATGAGTCCCATTAAGATGCCATAGCTCTCATGAATAGCCTCAGCCAGGGGGCTAAAAGTTGGTGACGCAGGAGACATCACTGACAATCTTGAGGAAGTTTTTGTACTTCTTATTGTCTGTGCCCAGCAAAAACATGGAGGCATCAGCAGAAGGGGCACAGATGACCTTTTTGGCTTCACCTTTCAAGTGAGCTCCACGTTTTTCCAAGATAGTGAAGATTCCAGTGGACTCCAGAACATATTCAGTACCAACATCACCCTATTTGATATTAGCAGGGTTTCACTCGTGGAAGAGGAAAACGAGATTTAATTCATGACAAGTTTCCTATTTTCAGCCTTGACTAGGCCATGAATTGTGCCATGGGTTGACATAGTGGAATGTGTGGACCATGTAGTTGAGGTCAAGAAAGGGGTCATTGATGGCAACAATATCTACTTAGCTGAAGTTAGCTCTGATGACCAGTCACCCAATACAGCCAAATCCATTTACTTGAGCCTTCACCATCACATCTCAGGGACATGGCTGGCACTGCATGAGGAAATGTATCTCTCTGTCAAATGAGAAGGATCAGAGATCCAGGATCATGGTGCTATGAAAATGCTCCTAGAGATGACACATTTTGGGGCTGGGCACTGAGGGGAAGGTGCTATGTCTGGCTTGCATTACCTTCTGTGATAATTGATTGTTACCTGCAGTTCTTTCTAAAATGCTGGGTCACACTTCCATTTCAGCTTGGAGTGACCATGCCACTTCCTGCCAGCCAGCTACAACTGATTAGAACAATGTAGACAATGGCCCTCAAATGGATCCAATTGACTTTTTTTTTTTTTGAGGATTAGGATTTAGGAAAAAGTGAGTCTCAGCAGTAAGATTTAAGTATGAGGGGAAGTATATCTTCACAAATAAAAAGGCTATTTTCTGTAAACTAAAGGAGAAAATCTAGACTGCAGAAAGAGAGAGGAAAGAGGATATAAATAGTAATCAGGATGAGAAACTAATCAGCCACAGTATCTGGGGCTCATGAAGCCAGAGGGGTAGTTCTGGTTTGTGAGACCAATCTGTGCCTTTGGACTTGAGTCTTGTAACAATTTTGTATCTTTCAATGATTTCATAACTAATTTTAATAGGTTTCTTTTCCCTAAAGCAAAATCATCCTTAATGGGTTTGGATCCATTTTAAGTAACTACATATACTATGAATGACTGCGTAAACTATGCCAAGAAATTTGCAGATTATTCTATATAAAACTGAATAATAGTACCCTTTTAAAAAAATGTAATTGGAGAAAGACAATTCTAACAATAAAGTAGCAAATGAAAGAGATGGAGGAGAAACTAGATAAAAAGTGAACTATTAGGAAGAAATCTTAGAATTACAAGGAAATACTAGTTTTCATGGTTCATAAAAGAATAAAGTTTGGAAGCATTCTTACAAATTTCAGACTGAATACAAGTTGTATATTGATTTCTAACACTTGAAAAAAATCACTAGGGTGTTTGCCTTCAAATGTTTGCAGGTGTGGGTAATTAAAATACCACATTATTTTCATTTGATTGTGTAAGCATTCTCATGTCTACAAGTGATTCTAATCAACTTCATTGACTATGAGGGAGAATCCTCTATAATTAAGAAAACTTTATGTACAATTATTAGAGTTTAGAATAATTCATATTGCATTCCTAATTATTATTTTTATCTACTTTAACTTCCATTTTTCTTAGGGAATAATAATTTACTAAATGATCAAAATAGTTTTCATTCTTTTCTAATGAAACTATTTAGGAATAAATAGAAAACAGTAAAGTATTTCAAAAATTAGCCACACATAATCATAATCGTAATCATAAGCCCACACATAATTATTTATTAAATAAAATAACATTTCAAGTTTTTTAAAAAATTTATTCTTTATTAGATTTCTAGGGTCATTTTGGTATGAATAAATCTTCCTTCATCTTGCAAAGGATACACTGTGGCTAAGAGCGGTAAGTTTAGACTTGATCTAGTGATCAAGATGGTGTTATCCCAACCAGTCCATGGGAACATATATAATGTATAATACAACTTAGTAGTGAAGAGAAAAGCTCTGGAGTTATAATCACCAAGATTCAAGCATTGATTAAATTTCCAAGGCTTAGTATCATCATCTATAAATCGAGGTTATAATTTTTACTTCATAGAGTTATTGAGAATTAAATGAGGCAATATACATACAGATCCTGGTACATACTATATATTAAATGAATAATTGTCATTACTATAATACTTATATAAATGGGCTTCTTCTCTGGGAGAGATTTTTATGGTATAGAAGCTAAGGTAATGTAATAAATTGCAATCATGATTCTTGCCCATTTTGAAAAAATAAAATGGCATTGATGGTTAAAAAATATAAACGTTGAATTTCAAAGGACAGTTAACACAAATTAAACTAGTTCAACCTAACCATTTTGACTCTGGATCCAGTAGAACATAAATTTCAAACAGAAATATTACAGGGTTTCATCTCCAGAAATTCCCAGACATAGATTTGAGGTGATTTCTAGGAATATTGAATACAATAAGTTAATTCTCAGGCAAGTCATTCTCAGCACCCTCTCCAAGTTACACCACAAGAATCTCAGATGTCTCAGAACAAATTCTAAGTCTTTTTCATCCACAAATTCAGTGCATGACTTTGTGTCTAACATGCACTAAGTACTCAATACATAATAATGAAATTATATAATTAATGATTAGCATACCAAAACCAAATTGATTAACATTGTTACTATTTTGTTAATTATCTCTACTGTGAGTTGTATGTAATTTGAATTTTTATTCCCACTTATGATAGAGAGCTTTACTTTCAAATTATTTTTTGTGATCTGTGACAAAAATGGAAATAAGGCAAATTTATTTACTTTAAAAGATGAAAAAATTGAATGCCTTTTTTACTTAGATTTATACTCATTCTCAGACTTTTCAAAACATTTCAGACATTAAGACTTGAAATTAACATTAAGACTGTAAACTAGTTCAACCATTGGAAGTCAGTGTGGCAATTCCTCAGGGATCTAGAACTAGAAATACCATTTGACCCAGCCATCTCATTACTGGGTATATACCCAAAGGATTATAAATCATGTTGCTATAAAGACACATGCACACATATGTTTATTGCGGCACTATTCACAATAGCAAAGACTTGGAACCAACCCAAATGTCCAACAATGACAGACTGGATTAAGAAAATGTGGCATATATACACCATGGAATACTATGCAGCCATAAAAAATGATGAGTTCATGTCCTTTGTAGGGATATGGATGAAGCTGGAAACCATCATTCTCAGCAAAATATCGCAAGGACAAAAAACTGAACACCACATGTTCTCACTCATAGGTGGGAATTGAACAATGAGAACACATGGACACAGGAAGGGGAACATCACACACGGGGGCCTGTTGTGGGGTCGGGGATGGGGAGGGATAGCATTTGGAGATATACCTAATGTTAAATTACGAGTTACTGGGTGCAGCACACCAACATGGCACATGTATACATATGTAACTAACCTGCATATTGTGCACATGTACCCTAAAACTTAAAGTATAATAAAAAAAAGAAAGATGAAATAATTTCAACATACAACTGATATGAATTCCAGAATTAGAGAATAGAGATAATATGTAAGTAGATATTTTTAAGGCATGATGAAAAGATTTAAATATAAAAGAAAATTTTAAAAATTTAAAGAGAATTTAAAGGAAGAGAGAAAAAAATAGTTCGCAGAATGAAGCAGCACACAGAAAACCAAGGTAAATGAATAAATAATATGCCTATATCAGTTTACATTGTAGTGAAAATGCGCAACATGACACAAAGAAAAAAATATTCTAAAGTACCAAAGGAAGAAAATAAAGAGAAAAGAAAGACTGATTGTCTTCAAGGAAATTACAACCAATTTTACTGCAGTTTTCAGCAAAACATTTGAAGCTAGTATACAAAGTAATAATATTCTAAAAATGTTTAGAATACATAGTTGTCAATCTAGAAATCCATACTAAAATAAATACATTGACATGTGAAAGCTAAATGAATATTTTCAGACGTTAAAAAATAACAAAACAGAAATGTTATATTTCATGGACCCTCACTGAAAAAATGATGAATGAAAATATGTTAGTAGGGAACAAAAAATAACTGAGAAAAAAGTTATAGATAAAAAAAGCAATAGTAAGCAAATAAATGGCTAAGACATTTTATTAAATCTTAATCAGTATTTACTGATTAAGGGGAAAAAAATCACTGGTATTATAGGTAGGGATTAAAGCAAGTATAATAAAATTGAAAACAATATATTGAAAATGGGAAAAATAAATTAAGATAACCCTGTTGTACATTTTAAGTATGCATATAAAAAACCTTTATATTTAATTAGTAAATTTATTGTGTTTATATGTTTATATTAAAACATTTAAATGTAACCATTAAAAGTACATACTTGGACACATGTAATCAATCCCAGCACTTTGGGAGGCCTAGAGGGGTGGATCCTTTGAGGTCAGTAGTTTGAGATCAGCTGGGCCGACATGGTGAAACCCTGTCTCTACTAAAAATACAAAAATGAGCCAGGCATGGTGGTACATGCCTGTAATCCCAGTTACTCGAGAGGCTGAGGCACGAGAATCGCTTGAACCAGTGAGGCACAGGTTGCAATGAGCCAAGATAGCACCACTGCAATCCAGCCTGGCCTACAGAGCAAGACTGAGTCTCAAAAAAAAAAAAAAAAAAAGATAAAATGAGACTAAAATTTAAATGGACGATAGGATGGGAACAATAATCAGAGAAAAATAGTAAATGTAAAAATCCAGATGTTAGTAATAATATATTTGTTCTACATTTACATAAAATTTACACAAAAACAGTATACTTGGAAATATAATTAACTAGGAGATACATAAAGAATGATCTATCTTTTTATCTTTATACATATAAACTTATAGATCTCAAAAACACTAAGATGAATAAACAAGCTGTAGAATGAAAAGTATATCATGACACCATATCACGAGACTTCGAAAGAGATCCTGTTCTGTGTAGAGTCCTTGCGATCCACGATACACATATATGACAATCCAAAATGTTACTTATGTATACAAATAACACTAGTAAAAGTGTTACAACATGAATACCAATCAGTCTCACGGTAAGGGTTGCTTTTGTGAAGGAAGGAGTGGAATAGGATTGAGCACAGGTACCAAGGGAACGTTACCTCCTCAACTTTATCTGTAACACTTATTGACTCAAAAATAATTTTGAAATTATCAGGATGAAGCTGTAACATTTATTAGATTTTAGACTGTGGTTACATGGGTATTTGTAATATTAAGTTTTGGATTTTTTATGCATAGATATGTAATAATTATATGTTTTAATAAGAGCCTAAAATAATACACTGTTTTCCTTATTTATCTATGGAATACTGGAACATTAAGTTTCTTTAGTGAAACACCAAAGAAATAGAGTAACACATATCTTCTCCTAACTTCAATACAAACATTGTTATAATGCTTTATTTCTCAGATAAATAGTACTATTTCCAACTTTGAAATAGGTACTTCACATGGAAAGTCAGACTACTTACAGGTGTCCTAAAATCCTAGACTGGCTTAGATCCAGTAGTATTTTGCCTATTCCAAAATTGCAAGCATTATTTATGCCACGTGTATGAAACTACTGGTACATGTCAAAATTGCATCTTCCTTCCATTACCTCAATTCACTTGGGATCATTTCACAATGACAAGTATCTGCTTCCCTACTAGCTTAGCTCTCCTAAATCAGGAGATGTCAGCTCTTAAAAAAAAAAATATGTCTCTTCATAAATGAAAAATTCATCTGTGGGAGTTTCTTAGAGAAGCACTGTCATCCATGAAAGATGTAAGGCTCACTAGAATTATGAGTAAGAGTGAATGAGAAAGTTAAGAAACTATACATTTACAAGCAATAAAGGCCCAAATGAAATTAAATGTTAATGAGTCTGGCCTTAATTGAGTTTTACTCCCACCGCTAAACTCTTTAGTAAAATATATTATCACATCATTTCTTTTATGATACATTAAAATCTGTACTATATTAAAACATTAGTTATTTTGTTACCTTTTTTAAAAAAAGTCTTGCTTCATTTCACAGTATTGTTTATTTGTTAAGTGCATTATCACAACATTGTAGTTTGTCAGAATTCCTCAACCTAGGAAATGAGGGTTAATTTAGCTATTTTATTCACAGAAATTGCCTTTCCTGATTTGAGATTTTTTTTATTTTAATATAAGTCCTTGGTGAATTTCCCAGTAGACCTGTAATTCCACATTGGACCTTTTAATGTACATTGTGCCAGAGACATGGATTCAAAAGGGAAGCTGTCCTGTCCAAAGACTCTACATTTCAGTGAATTCTTCAGACCTATTGCTGTATCCCAGTGACCACAGTGATTGTCTGAGAGTAGCAATATGTCAAAAGTCAGCAAGTGATCCTTCACATTTGCCCTTTATTGAAGCAACTGTACATTGGGCTCAACTGAGTTCCCAAACAGCACAACCTATGACAAGATCAAAGAATCCCAAGAACAGGGAACAAACCAATGCACTCTGCTGGTCAGCAGTCTAAGAGCTCAACTTATTTCATTAAAGTGCTATATGGGCTACTGAGATTCTTCTTAGGTTCTAAAGACTGCTGCAATTTAAGCACATATATTTTAAATGAACATTTCAATGTAGCCTATTCTTCATGGTATACAGGGTATTTTAGAATCACAGATCTGAGGAAAGCATTTCTCTTTTCACAATTCTTGGACTGCTGTTTACTAGGTTTAGAATTCTGTCAGGGTTCTGTAGCACCTAACACTGTACCCTGCAGGTAGTTAGGTAATCAATACCTAAAAAAAATCATAAGCAAGTAAATAAGGATACTTCTTGAATAAATAAATGAGTACAAATACACCTAATCATACTAAACCTCAGTCCCCTCATCTATAAAGGATGAGGGGGATCCCCAAGTTGAAGAATCATTATTAGAGAACGAAATAAGGTATGTAAGAAACCTAGAACTAAGTGGAAGCAAAAAATACACAACCTGAGCATTCTTCTATTATAACTTGGCTAGTAATACATTGATTCATATTAGTTTCTTTTCAAAATGTTATCTAAAACATGATGATTGTACACTGTAAAATTATGTTAAATTCTACCCTGTAAAGCATATTAGTAACATTTTCCTGTCACTTAACTTTGCATTTTGCTACTTTAACCTCAAAGTTTTGTCACTGTGTACATGTCATAACTTTCATAAAATGCAAAATACTAGCCACTTAGAGAACATTGTATTTATGAAGGCTCTGAACATCCCACGTTATTTCTATTTACCTCTAACCCTCCTTTGACCTTGTCACATTTTGGAGATAATGGTGAAAAGTCTAAATTTCTCCTGAAATAGTGAGATTGGCTCCTAGAGTAGAAAATACATTCATTTGACCAAAGGGATAAAACTGTACATTTTCCCCAAAACGCTGGCACAAACTCAGCCAGGGTGCAATATCAGTACCAAAGTAGGCATTTGGGGTGGAGGAGACATAACACAATGTGCAGTCACTGGAGATTAAATGGCACTTCTTTTGGGGGGAATACTTTTGTCTTTCTTTTGGGACCTAAAACTGATGTCAGCATGCTTCATGACTGCATTTTTCTAACTATGGTTTAGAGATTGGGATTTATTTTAAAAATTAAAAAATGAATAATGCTATTACACCCACAAATGACTTTGAATTCATACTATTTCTTAACAAAATTATATGGCATATATTGTATTTTTAAACTGTAATAAAACTAAGTGAAATGATTATGCTTCAGCTGATTCTTATAATATGGGTACAATTTTAATTTAAGTATAATATCTTTAATTTAGCCAATTTTACTCAGCTCAAAAGCATTGTGACAACTCTAGATGAGAAACTAAATTCCAGTTTCCAAAACTTTGAGTGACAGATGAGAAACATTTAATCAGAAAGTTCTACAATAGTACAACTATTTTTCTATGAGGTTAATATTTTATCACATTAGAAACATTCAAAAGGCTACATATTGCATTTTACCTACAAGAATGCCAAAAATATCAATAAGAAGAAGTTCTAGACTTTCTTTCAAATAACTTTCTCACTTGTGAATTTTAAATCATTTTTGTTAAATTTAATATACATTCATTTTTTTCAGGTGTTAAAAATTAAAAGTATAATTTGGAGTTAATGTGTATGTAAAGATGAAAAGTTTATAAAATTTAATGTTAAATAATAGAATTAGTGATTGATCTTGTTTTCTTTTAAGGTTAGTTTCCTGTTAGTAGATAGCTGTAAGATTGAGAGCAATGTTATGGTGAGGCCCGTTTTCACAGGAGTAAAAATGAACTGCAAAAGTGAAAGTTTCCCCATTTCATAGTTATAATGTGGCTCAGGTGTGAATGAGTAGGTTAATCATGTGAACACATAGTTCAATTGTGAATTGATCTCTAGTGGAGGCTGCTTGACTACATATCGGAGGTGAAGGCTATTGACAACATGCTTTCTCTTGATTGACCGAAGGTGAAAAATAAAACAAGGTGGTTAGTTCTTATCCTCATTCCTATCACCAACTTTCCTATTACACTCTTAAAAGTTATAGTAAACCCAGAAACAACTTGAAAAAAATTAGGGTAAAATTTACTGTCTTCTGATATTTTTTGCTTAGCTGCTTTTTATCTGCTTTGCTCTAAGCCTCAGAAGCTCAAGAATACAATTCACTAGAGAATTTCATGCCACGTTCTTACCTGTGGACCTGGACTATCCTCTGGGAGATCTTTCTCAAATTTAAAGTCTTCTAAAGAATGAATAATGACTAAATCCTGAGAAGGAATTTAAAACATGCTTCTTCAACTAACCTTCATTGCTGCTCTCAGATCCAGGTAGAATAACATCAAAGTCCCTGATGCATCAAGATTTAAAAGGGCCCCTACCCCATGACCATTTAGATTCTGGCCTTTTCCATCCTCAGAACATAGAGTATTTACCATGACCTTCATCTCATAAAGGGCTTGTATTATTTGTGTACATATCAGGTCATGTACTTTTCATCTTTTTATTTAATATATGGCAGATGCAAATTCCTTTTAAAGACCAGCTCGCACGTCACCTATTCTATAAAACTTTAGCTGCTCCTTATATCCTGGAATATAGTAGATTCTCAGTATGTATTAGCAGAAAAAAAATGAATACATGAATAGATCACTCCACTTTATGAAAGACTCAACATTTAGAAAATGCTTTTATTAATGTAATTTTGTTTATTAATAACACATTTATTTGTCCCTGTTCACTATAAAAACTTTAAGCCTTTGTTTTCTTTTTAAGCCCCATATCACCAATATCACTATTTCTGGCTGATAATAGGCATACATTAATGCTTACAAAATGATGGATTATGCAATCAAGATATATCTGTTAAAAATATACTCACAGGCTAGACATGGTGGCATAGGCACGTAATCCTAGTGCTTTGAGAGGCCGAGGCAGCAGGAACATTGGAGACCAGGAGATCGAGACCAGCCTGGGCAACATAGAAAGACCCCGTCTCCACAAAAAATTGAAAAGTAGCCGAGTGTGGTGGTACGTACCTGTAGTCCTATCATTTCGGGAGGCTGAGGCTCAGGAGGCTGGGATCACTTGAGCCCAGGTGCTGAATCCTGCAATAAGCTGTAATCATACTCCTACATTATAGTTTAGGCAATGGCGCAATACCTTGTCTCTTAATTGCTCTACATTTTTTTTCGAAATTTACTCAATTACATATTTATGTATGTTTTATATCATTCATACTATATATATTACATTCATAAAGATATAATCTAGTAAACTCCAAAAAATATATAATAGATGGAATAGAGGGAATATGAAAGAGAACATGGAAATATGTATTATTTTCTATTAATGTATAACAAATTACCACAAACTTTGTGGTTTAAATGAACATACATTTGCTATCTCACAGGTTCTGTGGCTCCAAGGTCTAGGCACGGCTAAGCTGGGTTCTAAGTTCAGGGTCTCCTTGGGTTGCAATATACACTGGCTATCACCTAGAGACATCTCTCAGTTTCTAGAGGCAGTTCCCTACCACAAGTCCCTCTCCCAAACATACTTCTTACAGGCCATCTCACAACTTGGAAGCTCATTTTTTCATAGCTAGAGTTTCTTTCTTCAGAAAAGGCCCAGTCCCTATTTTAATAAATTTTCCTGACTGTCAGACTCACTCATGATCATCTTTCTTTCAATTGATTCAAAATCATCTTGCTTGGAATTTTAATTACATCTACAAAATCCCTTCACCTTTACCATCTAAATAAGCCTAATCAAGGCAGTGATTTCTCATTATATTTATAGATCCTGTCCACACTGTAGCAAAGGAGATTATGCTAATTATACTCCAATATAGGGATGTTGAAGTCTTCTCAGAATTCTACCTACCACAAATGTGAAAATGGAATTTAAGGTTGGAGTACACAGAATATGACCCTCGTCAGGCAAAGGGTAGAATTTCACTTCCCTACCAATTCCCATCTGAAGTTAGGTACACCAATGTGTTTTAATCTTGGCAATGAAATAAGAGTAGAAATGCATGTGCCATTTCTGTGAGGAAGTTTTAGAAGCCAGCACACAACTCATATTCCTTTCTCTCTGCCTTAGGCATTGTGAAGGCTTGTGTTGAAATGAAACCTCTACCAACCTCAGTCTTGAGTACTTATGAGTAGAGTCCTACTTACAATCAGCTTTAGAAAAGCATCATGAGAGAAAAATGTTTGTTGTGCTAAGCAACTGAATTCCTGGGGATGTGTGTTACTACAGGACATTTTTTCCCATTTCTGAATTATATTTGTACCACTTAGAGTTCATAGGTTAAAGGACATCTTAGTCACATAGAGTGACAACAAACTGGAATATTCTCTCAAATGCTAACTGGGAACTAGTACTGAGTGTCCAGAGATGCTTAGCATGGTGAGGCACACCTGTAGTTTCAGCTACCGGGGAGGCTGAAGTGGGTGGATACTGAAGCCCAGGAGCTTGAGGACAGCCTAGGCAAAATAGCAAGACCACGTAACAAAACAAAAAACAAACAAAAAATTTCAAGAAGAAAAAGAGAACAGGTTGCACCAGAAACAGGAGAAAAGTATTGGAGATAATGATTAAATAAACATTATATTGAGAGGAACAGAGTGAAATATATAGAAAAGTATGTAAATATAGTTTGAGGATGTCATTAGTATAAGATTATGGGAAAAGGGAGACACTTGAACACAGTAATACGAGGAGCACTTGTTCAAAGGAAAAAGTAGAAGAAATTAATATTGTTCTCTATTATTGCATGATTTAATTTTAACCCATTGTTTCTCCCTCAAACTTAATTTATAAAACCTAAAACTGTATTCCTGTTAATTCATTTATATAAGTAATATGGTTAAAATTTATGTGGTACAATCTGTTCATCATTCTTCTAAATGTCTAGGATGGAAAGGAAGCTGTTTTCCAGTTATAAATATCTACAAGTTAAGTAGTAAAAAATAAACAACAAAATTAATGGTCCAGATGTCATTTGTCATGGACTGTAGTGGTTAATCATTGATTACTCTCTGTAAACTACCTTTATAAACAATGTATCTGCTTACTCTCAAAGCAGACACTAAATACAAATATAGAAATACATATTAAATGCAGTGAAAAATAATAGTAAACAGAAATTCTGAAAAGACAAATCCTGATTCTAGAATTGTCAATACTAAAAAAAATGTGATCTTATGTACAGCAAATAATTTTCATATACCTATTTTATTCTCTGTATGATGGTAGGGATGTGATTATTTGACCTTTCACATCTGAATTTCTGAATTGTTACATGTAAGTAGTTCCACATAGAAAGGTTTATGCGAGTAAATACATGGAATATGTGCCTGGAAAGAAATTTTTAAAGGAGTTCAAATTAATTTTAACTTACAGGACTTTTTGTTTTCATATGTACTCAATATGGTTATACACAGACCTCCTAGGATCTTCAGAGTCTTTTATCATCCTATGTCTTATGAATCAAAATCTTCCATGGTTAGTAAGTTGAAAGGTCAATAATATTATACCTAATAAAAACTTGACTGACAGCTACACATAGCTTATTACTCATCTATTTATTGACAAAGAAAACCACAAACCTATTCATCAACACCCATGATGAGAAAACAGAAAGGTATCAGATCTATGTGGACAAAACCCAAGATCAAAGTTACTATCAGGATTTCTGCTGGTTGTTGAGTTGTTTCTTCCCCCAAGATTGATTTATACAGTCTGTCATACTATCATGCTCTCCAATCATTTTTGCAAGTCATGTGCTTCAGACATTAGGTGATAATCTTCATCATTCTTCTAAAATTCTGTGAAGAGAAGGAAAATGTTTTCTAGATATGATTATCTAAAATCTTTGCCTTTATACAAGGATACTAACGTCTGTGAAGGAGAGACACATTTTTTGGTATATGATTTTGATGTGGATTAAGCCATGTGGCTACACTTTGGGTCAGTCGAGTTCAGGAGACCAGCATGGCTCCATGCTCTGGGTTCCCAAATGAGTTAAGCTGCCATTTGCTTTCCAAAACTAGCTATAAGCTCGCTTTCTGGCTAGACTTACATTAAAACCCATCCTCTCAAAGTATGTTCCAAGATATTATAACTAAATTCTGAATGACTGAATTTCAAAATTAAGAACCCTGGAAGAGGTCTTATATACAGTTTCTCTTCATCCCATTTTCTTCCTTCTGCTGACTATATTTTCTATTTTGAGTAATTATTTTTTTATAAGAAGAGTTCTATGGCAAAATTATATGTTGTGAAATTACTTGTTTGTCTAGCATCTATAAATATATAAATGTAATCTAAATTAACTTCTGGATGGGCAGCAACCAAAAAAGAAACGATGCAGATTGCCAAGTTAAAAGTTTTCTTTTTCATTTGGTGTTAGTTTTACAAAAAAATGTAAACCTTTTAATAATTACAGATTAATTTGTGTAATATTACATCTGATGACATACAAGCGTGGGCTACATGTGCTTCACAAACAAGTGCACTTACAACCAAGTCCATAAATATTTTTAATAATTCTGGCATAAATACTATTGCCAGACAGACAGCTCAGACTATTTTTCTTGGGTAATTTAGTAAATATATTGTTTCTCTATGATACCATGAGCCACCAAATTTTTAAACTTATTACCACAAGGCAACAAAAATATAGCTACAGTATCGAAATATTTATTGAACATACAATGGCATGCACAATAAAATCAGATGTCTCATTTTTGACAGAATTAACTGCCAACATGGTTTACTTTGTTTCCGTGAAATGGATAGAGAAAAGTCAACCTTACATTAAATTTATATTTCTAACAGCTGATAGTACTGACATAAAACTGGTGTCACTTAACTGTTTGAGAAGTTTTTCTTCTGCTAATAGAACCAACATGAACAGCAATTGCCTCATTATTTGTAAATGCACAAGAAAACTTGAAATCAAATGAGTAAAATGAGTTTAGACTAAAATACCTATTTGATCCAAATGATAAGTCAGTTATCAGAGTTATATTTATCTGCAACTTACAGAGTCCTCTTACCATAAGGACTAATTTTATTAAATAGATGCTGAAGCTTTCACAGATGAATTGTGTCTTCTGTATTTAATATGATAAATGGTTTTCACAAGTCTACATGGTGGCTTGTGAATGTGGACAATGTATTGTCATGTTCATCATCAACTTTTGGAGACAGGAAAATCCCTTATTAATTTTTAATTAAACATGAATCTTTGTGCACTTATGGTGGCCAAAAGTGGTCATTGCATATTCAAAACATTACCAAACAATAAGATAAATAATTATAGATGTATACCACATGATAAATGGCAAATGGCATTATCTATATTCTCTATTGCCAGACAGACAGCTCAGACTATTTTTCTTGAGCATATTCTTCATGTACCTGACCTATAATACCTTTTATTTTCCTTTGACTCCACTAACAGTCTTGCATATCTGTGGAGCTCCCAGGTTGCAATGGTGGCCAAGACACAACTCATTCGTTTGCTAAGTGTTCAAAAAGGAGCAGCATTAAATATTTCTCCTACTACCACCCAATATCAGAAGAACGAACTATCCCAGAACAGCATTTTATCATCAGCAAGAACTGTGCCTGCTGTCCTTGGAGAAAGCTGAGAAAAGAGAGTTGGGTCATTAAGATTTAACTATGCATTTGGGTGAGAATTCCATTCATTGCACATGTATCTCACATACTACTAATGATGTGTAGAGAAAGCTGGATATTTATTCCAGTTTATTGTGATGCAACTACAAACAGTAATGTTTATCAAAAAATGTAAATAAGACAAATGATCAATCAGACTGATGTTGGGGTAACAGGAATTAGCAGAACTAATTCTGGTTTCCAAACCAGGTTGACTATACCAGAATATATAGACACTCTGTATTAACTAATCAGCTCTCTTCCCAATCCAGGTGGTGAGTTAAAATAATAAACTCCCTATCTGGTATAAATCATAATTCATTTGGATTACTTAAACAATTTTTTTGAAAAATAAATGCTCAATATCTCTTAATCTTGCCTTTTCCTTTTTTTTTTCTCAAAAATAGGGTTGTAGAGCATTGTAGCAGGTAGTTTCAAATTACCCTGAGATGCGAGAGCCCCCATATGCCTTCTGTCTCCTCTGTTATGAAATAGTTTTGACTTTCCTTGATAAATTTGGTGTTGGACTTAATTCGTAAAGTGGTTTTGTTTGTTTGCTTTTTCTTGGTTATTTGTTTTGGCTTTGACTATGGCCAGGAGCCTTTATTGGCTGATCTGACATTCCCTCAGCTCTTGAGGTTGGTATATTTTCCCTAGTAGCTGTCCTGTTCTCTATCTTTTCATTAATTCATGTGTTTCTCTTCAACTTCTGTCAGAGTAGCTTCTCTTTTTTTAACAACAGACCCCACAACAGACCCACCGGCATCACCTGACACTACAGGGGAGGACAAAAATGAAAATAAAATAAAATAAAATAAAATACTCTCAGGATAATTAGAAGTTTTCTTTGCTTTTGTTTTGCTAAAAAGGCCAACTAACCAACTTTTCCTGTCTTAGATATTTCTGGCTTCAGAATTGGAATTGCAAGGCAAGAAAGATATAAGGAAAATAAAAATGGATGAATTTAATATTCCAAAATATTGTCTCATTTCATTCAGTATAAAATAAAGTTTATGCCCTAATATATATGTTCAATGTTATAGAGTAAGGGTCTTTATACATTCCCAAGAGATCCTCTACATTAACTTTGTAGAGTGAAACAGAATCCTTTGATCTGCTTCAAGGAAGGCCTACAAACACTTGCTTTATATGATGTCTATTTAGTTTAATAAATATATAGTACACAAAGTAATAATATAATCTTTTAACATAGCTTTATTGTTAAATTTTAAGAAAAATACACTGTACTCTCAATTCATATAAACCAACTGAGTTAGAATTCTTGAAAAATAGTTTTCTGATATAGGATAAACCAATTGTCTATATGTCTGGACTCAATTACTTAATATAAATTCAGTATACATTCAAAACAAATTAATTTTCTTTTAACAATGCACTTTTATACAAAACCATTTTATTTAAAGAGTCTGGTGTTACCATACATGAACCAAGCAGTTTGACTATATCATTTGTAGAATTACAAACAATTCTTTCTAACAATGGAACTCTTTGTGTGGGTATTTTGTGCCACATTTCATCTATCAGCTAATAAAACTATCCAAGAAGAATTATGGTACAAGATACACATAAGCAAGAAAGATAAAAGGAAAGGTTAACACTTTTTCAGCATCTGTCAACACTGTCTCCTATTACATTTGATCACGTTTAAAGTAAATGCAAACATATGATATCATTTACAGTAAAAGTGAATGCCACACAGCAGCTACTTTGCTTTTATCCATTCCGCAGATCACTCATCACAGACCATCATGGGGAAGGACGATGCCGCTTTATGGTTCATCTTTGTCAGTAAAGCACACTACTTCAGCTCTTCAAAGCTGAACATTCACCCTATAACTAACAAAGAAATCTACCCTTGTGCATTTCCCGTTTGAAACCTGGAGAAAGGAGCAGAGTAGAGAAACCATGCTGCTTTGTTTTTCTTAAAAAAGTAAAACCACATGGATGAAATTGGAAATCATCATTCTCAGTAAACTATCGCAAGAACAAAAAACCAAACACCGCATATTCTCACTCATAGGTGGGAATTGAACAACGAGAACACATGGACACAGGAAGGGGAACATCACACTCTGGGGACTGTTGTGGGGTGGGGGGAGGGGGGAGGGATAGCTTTAGGAGATATACCTAATGCTAAATGACTAGTTAATGGGTGCAGCACACCAGCATGGCACATGTATACATATGTAACTAACCTGCACATTGTGCACATGTACCCTAAACCTTAAAGTATAATAATAATAAAAAAGTAAAACCAAAAGTGAAGACAAAAGATTAGCAAACAAAATGTGAACAACTAAGTATGCTATTGCTTTGTCAAAGGTTTTAATGAATTTTTGAAGTGACTCAAGGACATCTTTGTCTAGAGCAATGGTTAAAAAATTGTATTCCCCAGACTTCCTAAAGTAGCACCACCTAGGAAATTACTAAAAACGCAAATTCTCAGGCCCTATGCCAGAACTACTGAATCAGAAACTCTGTGGGTGGCATCTAGCAATCTTTGTTTTAACGCACTCTCCAGATGATTCTGACACACATTAAGAATGTTTGAGAACCACCAATTTAGGGAAATTCAGTATGGTGCATACCGCATGAGTTTACTCCAGTTTAATATTAACATTTTAATTATCAAAATAATTTTATAGATGTGTACAGATTTCAGTTTATATAGGTATGCAAAAAATTATTACATACTTTAATGTTTGTATTTTATTAAATTAATTCATTAATCTCAAAAAATATATCTGTTTTTTATGTATTTTATAAGCGAGCATATCCATTTGATGCATCTTAAACAAAATCTTAGAAAATCTGTACTCTTTCCACTCAGTGCATTCATATACCACAAAGCATATTTGACATAGTAGCCAATAATATAAATGATACTGAATACAGTTATAATAATAAATTTTGAGTTTAAATTTCAGTCTGTACTTTTAAGAATTTTTTCTACTTTCACTTATCCTTCCCAGTTATGATATAAACTACATATGATGTATGGAAACAGATGACATTTTAAACTATAAAGTCCTTTAAAATGGGCTTTAGAAATAACAATACTAAGCTTTGGAATTCTTGGAAACTATCCCTAACTTCATCTTTCTATGAACATCTTCTTAAATGCCTCTTTAGATGGAAAGAGGCTTACATCCTGGAATATGTATTTCAAGCCTTATTTCCTAAAGGATTGGTGAAGTAAAAAACAAATGATTCTTTGGGAAAAATGGGGAAACCATAAAACCATAAATTAAAATACATGGGCTAATTAATTAAGACTCTCTGCAACTTATCCAGCCAGTCAAACTTGACTGTGCTATTGAGTGTTTTGTTGGTTCTGACCATCTTTTCTGGGCCCTGAGATTGGGACACAACTGCTGTTTGTATCAGCTGAAATCTGGGGGCAGAAACACCTTCCCCTTACTTCTCAGCAAAGAATACATGATTTGTCAAATCTTTACCAATGGCCTACAAGACATTGACCACTCTAATTTTTACTACTATAAGGCCAGTGATATTAAAGATTGGACTGGAAAAATCTTCAGCAAGCAGAGATAAAGAAATACATACATAAATAACCAGAAGAAACTCAATAATCAGAAAAAGGAAAATCAAGCTCGAACCCAGAATATGTGACCTCATTAAAACGTAAGTGTTTTGGGAAACATTGGAAAACAAAATTTTCAAGTAGACTTCTAAAATATTTACTTTAAAAATAGCATTCAGTATATTTTTATCAAATAATTTAATGAGAAGATGATCACTATTAAGAACAGAAACAGGCCAAGTGCGGTGGCTCATGCCTGTAATCCCAGAACTTTGAGAGGCTGAGGCGGGTGGATCACCTGAGGTCAGGAGTTTGAGACCAGCCGGGAGCCTGGTCAACATGGTGAAACCCCTTATCTACTAAAAATAAAAAAAAATTAGCCAGTCATAGTGGCAGGCGCCTGTAGTCCCAGCTACTTGAGAGGCTGAGGCAGGAGAATCGCTTGAACCCAGGAGGCGGAGGTTGCAGTGAGCCAAGATCGCAACATTCCACTCCAGCCTGAGCGACAAGAGTGAGACTCTGTCTAAAAAATAAAATAAAAAAATAAAATAAACTGAAACAGTGACCTAGAAGATCAGAAACATGTATCTCATGACACTGTGCAAAGGTACAGTAAGAGAGAAGTTGAGACTACTGAAGCATAAATTGAAGAGATTTCATTATAAAATGTTTTAAAAATATGTATATTTTTAAATTAGAGACAGAGTCTTGCTACATTGCTCAGGCTGGTGTTAGACTCCTGTGCTCAAGCAACCCTTCTGCTTTGGCCTCCCAAAGCATGGGGATTACAGGCATCAGCCATACTACCAGGCAAATCTAGAAGAAGTAGAGGAACAAATTGAGGCAAACTTCTAGAGAAGATTAGTAAAAATATAAGGCCCTCTGAACGTCCCTTTAGAAATCCTGAAAGAGAAAGGAAATCTTATTTACTTCCTAACATAAAGGGGTCAAGGAAAAGAGAACCAGACTATCATGGGGCTTTAAATCTACAATACTAAAAGCCAAAAAACAATGCAATTAGTTTTCAGATTGCTTAGCAAAAAGATTGGGACACAAGAATAATACATCATTAAAGCACAGGAAATTTATGTTCACATATGTGCAAAGATTCAAAGGTGCCTCAGTAAAGTGTCAATATAAAATGCTCTAACTTCAACATGAGGGAGGAGAAAAGGGAATATAAACAGTGGTTAGTGATGCATCTTACAATGTACTATAGTTGAATTCAAATTGGTGATGCTAATGTGATTGACAGTTTAAAAATATGTTAAATAAGAGGATTTTGAAACTGAAATGAAATTTGTGTCTAGTTTTATTGTGTTAAACTGCAAGCCACAGAAATTCTGAATAACAGAAGAATAAACATTTATTTTGTACTTTCCAAGAACTCTGGTAGTAAGGGTCCCATGCTTCTCTTGCTGTGGTGGCTGTTACTGCTGTTGCTGGTTTTGGTTTTACTGGCCCTTCCTATCCTTCCATTTTAACATTTTAATGATGCTATCATTTCATGGTCACGGATTGCTACTGCAGAACCAACCATCACATTCTTACAGAAAAAAAGGAAGCAGAAAAGTAATGGTCATTTTTTCTGATGCTTATCTTTTTTCAGAGAAAAATATCTGTCTCATAAGCACAATAACAGCCTTCCTGTAATTACTGATTGGCCCAAACTGGAAGGTATGTCCGTACATAAAACAATCCTTGGGAAAGGGGAATCTGATTATGATTGTCTTAGGCTGACAATAATTTATCGACTAGAGGTGGGCACTTTGCCCTTCAAGAAATCATGGAGTCCAGTAAGCAAGAAAGAACTTCCAAATGGTTTTGAGTAAGTCACCAAAAGGGTGTGTTACACACATTGTTATATGTAATATGGAATTAAAATTTTTTAAGAAGCACAAAAAATTCAAAGGTTTGGAAAGGATGTGGGAATATAAAATCAAAACAGATAGCATTTTAAATGTCTCATAATCTCTATTTGTATGTGGGCGGGCTAGCGGGAAGGAAAATAAGGCTTCTGAAGATTTTTGTCAATGTGAGGGAAAGAAGAGGGAAAATAGAAAAAGTTTTGTGATGTTGGCAATGATTATCTCATTCTAAAGGTATAGTTAATATGCCTTGGTGTAAACTAGAAAAGCAGTAAGAAATGTGCTTTAAATTTGACAAATTGAAATTTAATTAACAAATAGATTTGTATTCTGTTCAGAGAAGCAAACAGCAAGAGAAATGAAAATCCTGGGTAGCTTTTTAAAAACATTGACTTTGTGCCACCAGACAGCTCAGTTGAATCAGAAAGTTCAGAGTGGGATATGGATACATGTATGTTTTTAAAATTCCTTGGGTGATTCTAATTTGCAACCAGGATTGATAATCACTATTTCAGAGGAATAAGAATGTAGTACAATATCCACTATAAATTATATAAATTTTACAAATTCTTTCGGCAACCAAATTTTGAGTGCCAACCATAACCTAGACAGTGTTCTAGGCACAAGTGATATTGCACCAAATGAAATAAAGTCCTAGAACTTGGACCTTCAAATGAGAGAGACAGGTAATATCTATGTAATGCCAGATAAAAAGATGATAATGAACCCTGATAAAGTGTGGGAGGTGAAAGCAGGTGGGTCCAGGGATGTCCTCTCTGAGGAGGAGAGAATTGAGCAAGGCAGGAATAAATCTAGGAAGTGAACCAAGAGCACACATGAGGAGGGAGAAAGAGGGCAGAGAGGAAGCAGAAGAACAAGGCTTTGCATCAAGAGTATGTTTGAACCTGCAGCAGTACACTCAAAGCCCTGAGAGAATGGGGTGGTGAAAAGAAAAACCTAAGCTTATTCACACTTTCTTTCAAAAATAATGACAATCAAATATCTTTTCAAAGAAAGATTTAGAGATTTTATCTTTGCTAGATGCTGACTGTCAGTACTTCTAAAGTGTATATGTCAACAAGAAGGAAAGAAGACCTGGAAGGAAGGAAATCATTCTGGTAAATTCCAAATAACTATTTTAGATTAAAGCAAAATTAATAAATGATTGACTTAGAGAATGAATTAAAAACAAGATGAAACAAAAATAATATAATAAAATCATATGGAAGATGGAGAGAGTCAGGTCAGAGTCCACATATTCTAATGTTCATGAATGGTTAAGAAGGGGATGACAAATTCGATGAACTCCAAATTTTAAGTCAAGTGTACAAATGAAAATATTACATACTCATGAAAAGAACATTAATTAATAACTTACAAGAGTTGAAAAATGCAATGGAGATAATATGATTAATCAACTAGACAGTTGGATGAAAAAAATGTCTGCAAAGAATGGGCATGGAAACTATAAAACAAAGATGGGAAAACATACCTGGGTTGTAGATTTGTGATTTTGTTGGGTTGTAGATACTGTGTATCTTTCGTCTATAATAGATAATTTGTAGAAAATATAAAGAATATATGAAGAGAAACAATGACATTACCAATATGAAACTACTATGGCATTACATTGAAAAATAAATTAAAAACTCAAGTAAATAAAAAAGAAGTGCAAATAGGCCTGATATGTATGAAAGTTTAATATGCACTAAAGTAATATTTCAAGACAATGGAAAAAGGATGGCTTACTTAATGATGTTGGCATAGATGGATATCTGCAATGTGAGGTGAAAGGAGATGGATGAGAAAACATGGTAAAATATAAAAGTCTATCCAGACTATTACTACACATGTGTAAAAAATGAGCTTACTCATGATAATCAAGAACTAGAAGATATCATGGAAAATGAGGATAGGAATATGGAAATATCTGCCTTGTTTTAATTGAATATTTGCATTAATATTTTATCATAAATAAAATTTAAAGCTCAAATGCAGATACTTCTAAAGAAATAAATATTAAATTACGTGTGAACTAAAATAAGAACAAAACTAGGATCACCTACACTGTACTAAACGTTTTCCATTGAGAAACTCAAGCCCAGTGATATTCATTTATTATGAACCACATATAAATTGTAATTCATCTGTTAAAATTGAGACAATAAAATATTTGTTTCAGAGGACTGTATGGTTTATTGTACATACAAAACATTTCTTAAGAAAATAATACAATGATCTTCCATTTTTGCAGTTGGCCTCTTGGCCAAATACTGCAGCGTTTTGCCTTGCCCACTTTGTAGAATCTGAGTATCTAACAATGAAGAACAGTAGAATGAAAACGTTTCAGTAAGTATCCTTCAAACCAAGTAAAAGTAATTTTGTGGGCTACGCATTTGCAATTGCCTTCCTTTACAACCTCTAGAGAGCTCTTTAGTATCACTTGAATTAGGACTTTGGGCAAAGAGCCTGCTCCAAATGAAACTACTATTATAGTTACTCTTGACCACGGTACATTGCTTTTCTGTCCCCAGTGCCAGGCACTCCAGCAGTGTGAGCAGTCAGGGAGCACCACTAAAAATATAGATGATAAAATATGTGAGAGTTCCCTGAAGCAGATACAAAAATGCATGTGCATTTGTTCCTTTGTAGAATATAATATTGAAAAGAAGAGATGCTCATTGGAACACATGATATCTTTTGCATTTAAGCGATTTATCTATAAACATCATATCATTCTTGAACAAGGCAATTTCCCTGTTGCATTGTTGTTAAATTTACCATTTATGATAATTTAGGGACACATTTCAGAGTGTGATTGTTTATTTCAATCAACTCCATAAGCGTAACTTGATTACAGAGGTGGAGAACTGTGAAAAACACCATTAATTTAAGAAAAGGCCTTTGAGCTTATAGTTAGTGTAGTTAACATAGTTCCATTGTTTATTTATGGCTATACCACTAAGGATATGTGTTGGGGGTGAGGTTAAAAAGAGGGAAAGGTTTTTTTTTTTCTCTTAATTTACATATCAGTTTTTGATGGGTTTTCTCTCCAAAAAGAAGTCTGTTTAGGTTTATGCCAGAGTCTGGGGCCATTTACAGATTAATGGCAATTTTTTTTCTTCATATACACAGCCTTCCCTTATACACCACAGGCTACTTCAACGGCTGCAACCCACTTGCCAGAAGACAAGTTAACTCCTCTTTAGTCATGTTCAAACTATTACAAGTTCCTTTTGTAGAATAATACCTCTCTTTGGGGCCATACCACATGACTTACCCTTTCCAACCCCTATTTTTGGCCACATTTTAATCCAATATTTGTTTCAGGGTAAAATGAAAATTCACGTGTAAGACTCATTAAGCACTGTACACTTAATTCCCAGCACCTCTTTGCTGTAGCAATCCAATGCATGGGGACACTCTGGACCTTGCCACAACCTAGGGCTTCTAGGGCTTAAAAATGTAAACTCTGATGTCCACTTTTGTCATAACTTTACAAGCTTACCTTTTCCCCCCTCCCCAAACCCATAACTCAAACCTGCAAACCACATTAAGACATTTATTTGCTCTCTGTGTATCAATATCCTTTTGGTTTCATGTCAGTGTGAGAAATCTCAATTATTTAACCTATATAGTAAAGTAGGTAATCGTGCAGACTTTGGAGCAAGACTACCTGGGTTAGAAATCTGACTCCAACATTTATTAACTATGTGACCTGGAGAAGACACGTAACCTCTCTGACCCTTCATTTTCTTGTCTGTAAAATACAGTTTGTAAGGGCTCATTTTTATAAAGAAAATACATGTTCTATATTTGTTTATTTTTTTCTATAAAGGAAAAAATAGCAGATTACATATGAGATTTAAAGTGGACCAGGAAGATAAATGATTATATTATGAAAATATCAATTTTTCATAGGGATAAAATTCACCTTATAAATGTAAATTTCTTGTGTTTTAATCCTTTCTTCCATGTATTATTGAGATTCTATCCCAAGCATCTCAAACTTTTCTGTAAGAGTTAGTACAGACTTCATTGTTTTTAAAGGAACTAAACTAGTCACAACATCTTTTTTTCTTTATAGTCTGGTGTACGTATTTAAAAGTTTATCCCTACTCTTGCCTGTCATTGTGAGTTACCCTAGCCCACACCAAAGGAAAAGGAATGCAACCAGACTGAGATCATGACACCAAACATTGCCTTTCTTGACAGAGCACTGCCATCCCTCATGCATAGTCAAACAGGCAAACTGGCACAAGTTCAAGACCTCCAGAAAAACTTATCGTTTCTTCACTTTCTGTCACCTTAATTTAGCTGCTGGCAAAGAAAAGCTTAACCATTGCTTCAAGAAGGAGGGTAGGTAGGAGAACAAAGATGACTTGCAAAATATAACATCTGAAAAATTGCAGTTCCTTTGTGTAGATTTGCTTTTCTCTTCAGTGGGGAATTTCTCACAAGTTCTGCCTTTACCTGAAGTATCACAAGGCTACATGAAGCAACATTCTCCCCACTGCACCCACTCCCCATTTTGAAATGAGGCTGACAAAACAGCCTCATTTCAAAGAAGAGTAGGAGTGAGAATTATTGTTTCAAAAACAGCATAGTCTTGAAGTCTTCCTGGAAGAGAGTTCCTCCGTAATTTTCACACATCAAAGTGATAATGAAGCGAATTCAGACGTCCATTTTTTAACTCAACAGTTGAAACAAACTCATCTTAAATTCTTTAGCTGAACTACATTGAAGAGTTGGGAGATTAAATTATGCTTTACTGTATGACATTTTGTATCCCAAATCACAAGTTTCAGACTGAAGAGTCTGTTGCTCCTGATTTAACCCATATTGAGTTTGCATGTTGAGAAAGCATTGATTTTTGCTTAGAGAAGCAGGATAATCTGATTTCTTGACTCTACCAATATCTAGTTGTGAGCTACAAATTATATAATCTTTCTACTTCATATTCCTTCTCTTTATGAGATACAGACTAGTTTACTATCTTCCCCTTTCTCATAGGAATTGTGTAGCTTGGAATGTTGTCTTGCATAAGACTAAATATTGCTTCGTGATTCTTAATAGAAAACAAATTCATAAAAGCAGTTGAAGGAATAAGTTGTTCAGCTAAGAGGCCATATTAATTATTTAAAAATCTCACCAGAAATCATTACTATTTGATGTAAAGAGGACTGATGAATTTATAGAATTACAGGTTTTTTTATTTACAAATAGCTGTGGAAATATATTTGTGTTTTAATACAAAAATACATCAAGGATTAATATCAAATTTTGTATAATGTCATCACTTGTGAGAAAAGAAATCAGCAAGCATATCCATAAGATCTTCTCAAGAATTTTCTTCTATATGGACAGCAATTAAGCAATGACTTCACCTTTAGATTAAACATTTGTGAGATAAAATTTATAGAAGTTCATATATAAATAATTAATCATGAGCATTTTTGCTTAAGCGTTAGCCATGTTTAAAAGATTGTAGATGTGTGTGTATCTGAATGAGTGAGACAGCCTGTAAAACACAGAGTACAATAAATATAAGGAAATATTTCATAATTAAAAAATCATGAAAGAAATTACTTCAGAAGATGTGTGGCTCTTCCTCATATTTTTAGCTATGCATAAAGACTAAATCACATTCTAAAGACCATCAGAACAAGACATTTCTGGCTATCTCACTGATGTGTATTAGATTCTTATTCAATAAATTATTCTTAAATTTTAAACTCAATTTCCTTGTGCTATACTTATTCAGAATGGTAGCGAACTAGTCCATCTCATGTTACAGTCCATAATTATTTGATTCATGGCATCTGAGGTGCAAAGTGATCTCTTAGATCTGATTTTAAAACCATTAATATATATGTTTCATTTCTTAAATTTGTTATAGTTGATGACATCCCCCTCTATTTATAGAATCCCTCAGAAATTACTTTCTCTTAATGTGTACAATTTCACTGGGGAAGACCAAAGTTCTTGCGCTGATACCTTAACTGATAATAACAACATATTGCTAAAATAGTAACTTCTTTTAACGTGTTAAAGCTCATATTTGGTCACACTTTAGCACAACAAATTCTTCTCCAATTTGCATCTGTTTCTTTCTTCCTTCTGGTTGTGTACTGAAGTTATATCTCAGCTAAAATTATGCCATTTTGGTATTAAATAATTGTTTTTAAAATGTAGCTGGTTATATGGCACACACAATATCTTGGAGATATGACTGAACTAATAAAGAAGAGAACAACTAAAATTATTTTTTTAAAGCTCATAAAACACCCTTAGGGAACAGTAGCCAATTTCTGTCATGAAGTCTGGGCCAACTGGAAACCAGGCCTGTTTGATCACAAGATGAATACAGTCTTCCCTGTAAGTTTCATTCTCCAATCACTCATTCTCTTAGCTGTGATTGTCACTGAGAAACTCCTCATCAGTCCCTTTGACCACCTTCTCTGTCTGTCTTTTAAGTACATGAGAACTTCTGGACACTTATATAAGCTGAGAAAAACACATTTCCAGGCCCTCTTTCAGCTTATCACTCTGATCCAACAAGGATGTTTTGAGGATGCTGTGCCTCCAGTGCCTCCTTCCAGAGTCATACAAGGGAAGGGAGTCAACAGAATTATCTCTTCCTGCAGGGTTTAGCATACCTACTGGATGCTTGTAACACCTCTTTCTTTCCTCAAGACTGGTCTCCAAATGAGAAGGAAAAAGAAAGAGCCAAGAATGCTACAGCCTGCCTTTTTTTATTTATAACGCTTTCTTCACCATTCTTGGTAAGGTTATACTTTTATCCTTTTGTGTCATTCTTCATTCTTCTTTTAGTCCAGCCTCAGATTAAGCTTATTTAGCAGAAATTTGTGATTCTTACATAAATCATATATTATATATATTCTATATATATATATAAAAATATATAATTCAGGCTTGGTCCACAATATGTTATCTAGAAGCTTTAGGAAATTAGCAACTCTCTCTTGCCACAAACCTTGGTTTTCAAGCTAATGCCTTGTTCTAAGCTTAGCTACCTATCCCCCTTCCCTAAAGGGCCCTCCCAAATAAGGAGATTGAAGTTAGAAATAAAGTATAATTAAGAGGAAATCAAAACAGAATACTTCAATATTTTAAAAAATATTATCTTTGTCTTCTTCAACACAAGCTGTACAGGAAGACAATAATTTAAATTTTTGAACAGATTCACTCCATTCGGTTACTTCTGCTTACAGCCCCTGAAAACTTTCTTTTCTTTTTTGATATATTACACAATCTTTCACTTAAAAAAAAAACAGAACTTATGAAATAAATGATATATATAGAATAAACCTCTAATTAAGCACACAGGCAGACAGATGGACACACAGACAGACACACACACACACACAAATATTGATTTAAAAACCATAAATAAGCATTGTCACAAAAAACTACAATGTGTTTTATTATTAATGTAAAATACATTCACATCTTTGAATAGTTCGGTGAGAAATTACTAATTTTAACTCACAAGCCAATGCATATTTGCTAGTAGTTTCTGCGAGGAGCTCATTGTAGAGACAAGTTATAGGTGAAATGTCCTGAACCATTTTGGCCATGAGTAGAAGGTGATGTAATAATCATCTATTTTCATATATGATATAGGCAATCCAGTTGTGACCAGAATATCGTTGCTCTCAGGGAGTCACTGTCTTCTTCCTTCTAATTCTATAAATTCAAGCCCCATGCCGCACCTATATTTGCCATACGCACAAAACATTTTCTTACCCTAGACTCATTTGTAAATCACAGTGTCCTTAGAATCTTTTTGGACTCATTCAGAGTTTGGTCTTGAAATTACAGAAAATTGCTGCTTCAAACATACAGTACCCATGACTCTACTGCCACAGCTCTAGCTAATTTCCTGTCTTGCTGCAATGGCACAAATCTGTGCAAATGCTGGAAATTCAGAAACTTATCATTTAGTGAAAATAAGTTCTTTTACAGCCTTTCTTAAATAGTTTTTGCAAAATGCTTTCTGATTATATACACTTTCTTCTATGTGATTGAAAGGCTTGAAAGCATTTTTCATTCATTAAGTATTTATTGAGTGACTACTATAGGACATGCACTGTTTCCACTTTAGTCTAAGTTTGCCTGGAAGTCTTTCTTCAAATTTATATAAGCACAATTTCC